>NC_000017.11:2763838-2915353 GCF_000001405.40 Homo sapiens
CAGTGGAAAGGGTGAGTGATGGGGTTGGAGTGGGAGATGGCTCCTGAGTGAGCCTGCTCTTCTTTCAGCCTGGGGACCTGTGTGTGCCCGGTGGGATCAAGGACAGCATGATGTGATGTGTGGTCTGTCAGCCCGGGAGAGACCCTGTGCCTCTGCTGGGTCTCACGTCCTCATCTATAAAATAAAGCTGCTGGACCAGATGAGTGACTTCTTGGGATTTTTCTGGCCCTAGCAACCTACGATGATGTCATAATCAGAAGATATCTTAAATTAAAAAAAAAAGGTATTTACCTTTTAAAAAATATAAAATAGGCTGTGCGCAGTGGCTCACGCCTGTAATCCCAGCATTTTGGGAGGCTGAGGCGGGTGGATCATTTGAGGTCAGGAGTTTGAGACCAGCCTGGCCAACATGGTGTAACCCTGTCTGTACTAAAAATACAAAAATTAGCCGGGCATGGTGGCGGGCGCCTGTAATCCCAGCTACTCGGGAGGCTGAGGCAGGCGAATTGCATGAACCTGGGAGGTGGAGGTTGCAGTGAGCCTAGATTGCGCCATTGCCTGGGCGACGCAGCAAGACTCTGTCTCAAAAAATAAAAATAGAAGGCCAGGCGCGGTGGCTCACGCCTGTAATCCTAGCACTTTGGGAAGCCGAGGCGGGTGGATCATGAGGTCAGGGGTTTGAGACCAGCCTGACCAACATGGTGAAACCCCGTCTCTACTAAAAGCACAAAAATTAGCTGGGTGTGGTGGCAGGCACCTATAATCCCAGCTACTCAGGAGGCTGAGGCAGGAGAATTGCTTGAACCTGGGAGGTGGAGGTTGCAGTGAGCTGAGATCATGCCACTGCACTCCAGCCTGGGTGACAGAACGAGACTCCGTCTCAAAAATAAATAAATAAAAAAATAAAAATAAAAACAGAGTGAGATTCCATCTCAAAAATAAAAATACAATATAGTCACATGGTTCTCATTCAAAAGGGTCTAAAGCAGTGACAGGGCTCCCCAGGCACTAATCTCCCTCCTCGGAGGCAACCAGGTTTACCAGTTCATCAGTGTTATCAGTTTCTCCCACAGAGATGGCAAGAGTCTGTCACCCAGGGCTGAATTCTGAGGAACCCAACGATGGGGAAAGTCAGGGACACTCATGCTCAGAATAGGATGGGATTAATCAGGGTGGGCTTCCTGGAGGAGCCTAATTACTCATGCTCAGAATAGGATGGGCTCCTGGAGGAGCCTACTTTTGAGCCAGGTTTTACAGGAGGGGAGTCACTTTGGGGCAGGAAGCAGGTCACAGAGGAGGGACATGTCCCAAATGGAAGTCATAATCTTTCCTCTCAAAGCTGTCCTCATCCAGTACAGATGGCTCCGCAGCCAGCCACCTGCACAAACCAGGAACGGGGGAATGATGTTGCTGCCTGTCTTCTCACCTGTGTCCAGCCCAGCACCAGGTCCTGCCAACACCACTTCCTTAGCACATTCTCAAGTCGCCCCATCTTACCTGAGCCGGGAGTGGTAGCTAACACCTGTAATCCCAGCTACTCAGGAAGCTGAGGCAGGAGGATCGCTTGAGCCCAGGAGACCAGCCTGGGCAACATATTGAGACCCTGTTTCTAAAAAACAGAGAGGGCGCGGTGGCTCACGCCTGTAATCCCAGCACTTTGAGAGGCTGAGGCAGGCGGATCATTTGAGGTCAGGAGATCGAGACCATCCTGGCTAACATGGTGAAACCCCGTCTCTACTAAAATAATACAAAAAATTAGCCGGGCATGGTGGTGGGCGCCTGTAGTCCCAGCTACTTGGGAGGCTGAGGCAGGAGGATGGTGTGAACCCAGAAGGCAGAGCTTGCAGTGAGCTGAGATCGCGCCACTGCACCCCAGACTGGGCGACAGAGGGAGACTCTGTCTCAAAAAAAAAAAAGAGTTTGAGCAAGAGCAGCCTGGCCAATATGGTGAAACCCCCTCTCTACTAAAAATACAAAAAAATGAGCCAGGCATGGTGCTGCGCCCCTGTAATCCCAGCTACTCGGGAGGCTGAGGCTCGAGAATTGCTTGAACCCGGGAGGTGGAGGTTGCAGTGAGCCAAGATTGCACCACTGCACTCCAGCCTGGGTGACAGAGTGAGAACCTGTCTCCAAACAAACAAACAAACAAAGCGTCTAACCTGGCCGTCCTATTATTTTCCACCCAGCAGCCAGGATGATCTTCTCAACACACCCACTGCATTATGTGGAGGAGAGTGGAAAGAGGCCGGCGAGGACAGATGCTGTGGTTGGGCGGCCATGGGGGCGGTGGCAGCCTTGTGCTCTGCAGCAACCCAACCTCTTTTAGATCCGGGACACTGTGCGTCCTCTGCACCCTGGGGCCCATTCTACCACGGCGCCTTTCTCCCAGTGAGTCCTTGTTATGAACTGAATGTTTGTGTCCCCGGAAATTCATAGGTTGAAATCCTAGCCCCGCACTGTGATGGGTTTAGGAGACGGGGCCTTTGGGAGGGAGAGAGGTCTTGAAAGTGGAGCCCACATCCAGACGCACTGGCTCACGCCTGTAATCTCAGCACTTTGGGAGGCCAGGTGGGCGAATCACCAGGTCAGGAGTTCGAGACCAGCTTGGCCAACATGGCAGAAGCCCATCTCTACTAAAAATACAAAAAATTGTCCCAGCTACTTGGGAGGCTGAGGCAGGAGAATTGCTTGAACCCAGGAGGTGGAGGTTGCTGTGAGCCGAGATCACGCCATTGCACTCCAGCTCAGGTGACAGAGAAAGACTCCGTCTAAAAAAAAAAAAGTGGAGCCCTCATGAATGGGATTAGTGTCTGTATACGAAGATGCATGAGAGAGATGCTCTGTGTCCCTGCCATGTGAGGATGCAATGGGCGTCTGCATGCCAGGAAGAGGGCCCTCACCAGGCACTGGCGCCTCAACCTTAGGACATCCCAGCCTCCAGAACTGAGAGATACATTTCTGTCATTTAAGCCATGCAGTCTATGCTATTTGATTGTAGCAGCCCCAACTGTCTAACAGGGTCCTCCTTATCTTGTCCTTTAGAGCTCAGCTCAAACTGCCTCTCCCCGGGGAGGACTTATGGGAAGTCCCCTCCCCCAGCAAATCCCCTGTGCCCCACTGGGCAACATCAGGGCAGCTGCACAGTTTTTTTTTTTTCATAGCACTTTATCCAGTTTGTAATGATACAGGCTGACAGGCAGGCACCCCTCCAGTCTTCTCCCTCGTTAAAGATTTGGAATTGGTGGCCAGGCGTGGTGGCTCACGTCTGTAATCCCAGCACTTTGGGAGGCCGAGGTGGGTGGATCACGAGGTCAGGAGTTCGAGACCAGCCTGGCCAAGGTGGTGAAACCCCGTTTCCACTAAAAACACAAAAATTAACCGGGTGTGGTGACAGATGCCTGTAATCCCAGCTGCTTGGGAGGCTGAGGCAGGAGAATCACTTGAACCCGGGCGGCAGAGGTTGCAGTGAGTTGAGATCATGCCACTGCACTCCAGCCTGGGCAACAGAGTGAGACTCTGTTAAAAAAAAAAAAAAAAAAAAAAAAAAAAGGTTGGAATAGGTAATCTCTCTCCTGTGTGAGAAGATACGTTGTGAAAAGGTCACTTTCCCATGCCCTCATCCACCCTCTTCTCTCTTCCCCCAACCCAGGAGGTGACTTTTATTAGCTTTTGTGTCTCCAGAGTTTCTACAGGTAAAGATAAGCGAGTATGAATTCCCACTTTATTCCCTGCCCCCTTTTTAATGTCAATCACGCATGAGGCCCTGCACTTGATTTTTTCCTCTGAACAATGTGCCTTGGAGATCTTGGCAGGATAGCACATGGGAACACCCTCATTTACAACATCTTTTATGGCCACACATGGCTTTACTATATGGATGTACCATAATTTATTATAGCTTTTTTTTTTTTTTTGAGATGGACTCACTCTCTCTCCCAGGCTGGAGTGCGGTGGCACGATCTTGGCTCACTGCAAGCTCCGCCTCCCAGGTTCACGCTATTCTCCTGCCTCAGCCTCCCGAGTAGCTGGGATTACAGGTACCTGCCACCACGCCCAGCTAATTTCTTTTGTATTTTTAGCAAACGAGGTTTCACCGTATTAGCCAGGATGGTTTCAATCTCCTGACCTCGTGATCCATCTGCCTCGGCCTCCCAAAGTGCTGGGATTACAGGCGTGAGCCACCGTACGTGGCCAATTTATTATAGCTTTTTATTTCTTTATTATAATTTATTTAGCTCCCTACTGAAGGGTGCATGGGTCGCCCTCAGTCTTTTGCTATTATAGACAATCCCACAGCAAGCATTGTCCACTTGCTGGAATCCCTAGGTAAATTCCCCAAAGAGGGGATTATTGGGATAAAAGGGAAATGCATTTGGAATTCAGACAGATGTTGTCAGGTTGTCCTTCAGAGCGGTTGTACCAAGTGACATTCCCACTGATAATGTATCAGAGTGCCTGTTTGTAATTATACATGTATTTATGTGATTATTGTATGGTTTCTCTCCCCACAGGAGGGCAGGGACTATGTCAGTTTTCTTTATCATCATAGGCCCTCAATAAATGTTGAATTAGGCTGGGCGTGGTGGCTCACGCCTGCAATCCCAGAACTTTGGGAGGCCAAGGTGGGCGGATCACCTGAGGTCAGCAGTTCCAGACCAGCCTGGCCAACATGGTGAAACCCCATCTCTACTAAAAATACAAAAATTAGCTGGGCATGGTGGTGGGTGCCTGTAATTCCAGCTACTCAGGAGACTGAGGGAGGAGAATCACATGAACCTGGGATGCAGAGGTTGCAGTGAGCTGAGATGAAGCCATTGCACTCTAGGCTGGGCAACAAGAGCGAAACTCTGTCTCAAAAAAAAAAAAAAAAAAGAGTTGAATTAATGAATAGATTCATGGTTCTTCCAGGAGGGGTTGGCCAAGGTAGGAGGGAGATCACCTTCATTTTATGTTCACTGTGCCCGGCCCAGCTTCCCTGATCCTTCCATAGAACAGCTGGGAGCCTGGGAGAGACCCTGGAGGTTCTAGAAGACCTAATCTTGACTGCTGACTCCTGACCCCTGCTCCAGAGTAGCCCTTCTCCTGCTGTGAAATCAAGAAGTCCATGGCTAGGCTCAGTGGTGCACTCCTGTAAACCCAGCACTTTGGGAGGCCCAGGCAGGAAGATCGCTTGAGGCCAGGAGTTCAAGACCAGCCTGGGCAACATAGCAAGATCCTGTCTCTACAAAAAATTTAATAAGAAAATTAGCTGGGTGGGGTGGCTTGTGCCTGCAGTCCTAGCTACTCAAGATACCGAGGCGAGAGGATTGCTTGAGTCCACAGGTTGGAGGCTTCAGTGAACTATAATTGCGCCACTGCACTCTAGCCTGGATGAGAAAGTGAAACCATTTCTCTAAAAAAAAAAAAAAAAAAAAAAAAAAAAAAAAAAAAAAAAGGTCTGGGTGCGGTGGCTCACGCCTGTAATCCCAGCACTTTGGGAGGCCGAGGCGGGCGGATCACGAGGTCAGGAGATCGAGACCATCCTGGCTAACACGGTGAAACCCCGTCTGTACTAAAAATACAAAAAATTAGCCGGGCGTGGCGGTGGGCGCCTGTAGTCCCAGCTACTCGGGAGGCTGAGGCGGGAGAATGGCGTGAACCTGGAAGGCGGAGCTTGCAGTGAGCCGAGATCGCGCCACTGCACTCCAGCCTGGGTGACAGAGCGAGACTCCATCTCAAAAAAATAAAATAAAATGAAATAACATAAATAAAATAAAATAAAATAAAATAAAAAAGAAAAAATAAGTCCAATGTCTTAGCCCTGTAAAGGGGCTTAAAGGATGGACACTTGCCTGATGCCTGAATTGCCTGTGTGTCCTCTGCTTACATACCTCCAGTGACGGGGAACTTACTCCTTCCAAGTGACTTCTTTCAGCTTCAGACAACTAACTTCTAGAAAGCTTTTCCATCTACTGCCAGGTGCAGTGGTTCACACCTGTAATCCCAGGACTTTGGGAGGCCAAGGCGGGTGGATCACTTGAGGTCAGGAATTTGAGACCAGCCTGGCCAACATGGTAAAACCCCGTCTCAACTAAAAATACAAAAATTAGCGAGGCGTGGTGGTGGGCACCTGTAATCCCAGCTACCTGGGAGGCTGAGGCAGGAGAATCGCTTGAACTTGGGAGGTGGAGGTTGCAGTGAGCCAAAATCGCACCACTGCACTCCAGCCTGGGCAACAGAGAGAGACTCGGTCTCAAAACAAAAAAAAAAAAAAAAAGAAGAAGAAAGGAAAGCTTTTCCATTTATTGCGTTGAAATCTGATCCTTCTAGCTGCCTCCTCTTCAGGGAATCTTAATGATGGCCCTCTGGAAACAGGGCTTTCTGGCAGATGAGCAGGAGGGATATTTGTAAACAGGTACCCCTCAGCAATTCTCCGGCAAGCAGGGCTGACTCTCCCAAGGAGCTCTGCAGAGCTCAGCCACCTCCTCACTCTCTCCTGTCCTGCCCACAGGTACGTGCAGGAAGGGCGGTTCCGAATCGAGGAGAGGACGCTGACAGCCTTCCAGTGGCTCTACAGCCCGCAGCAGCATCGCATCCTCAGCCGGGCTGACCTCGAGTCTCCCTCCAGGTAAAGGGGCCTTCTGCCTTGACCCTCACATTCTTTGGCCTCGGCCCAGGCCTCTCAGCTGGTACTTAGGAAGTGAGCTCCGCACTGGTCCACAAATCCACCATGGGGAACTTTGCCCTCAGTGATGGGGAGGCCTTCTAGGAAAGAATTTATCAGCCTGGATGCTTGTCCCACCTCGAATGCACTGAGGCAACTCACTGCCTCTGCTTTCTCCTCTATAAAACGGATAGGATCATACTTTCCCTGACTTCTCTTGGGAGATTATAAGTCTCCAGTGAAATATGACTGCAGAGATTTACAAAGCCTGGAGATTGGTCGGGCTCAGTGGCTCATGCCTGTAATCCCAGCACTTTGGGAGGCTGAGGTGGGTGGATCACTTGAGGTCAGGAGTTCAAGAGCAGCCTGGCCAACATGGTGAAAACTCGTCTCTACTAAAAATACAAAAATTAGCTGAGCGTGGTGGCACATGCCTGTAATCCCAGCTACTCGGGATTGAGTAGCTGAGACAGGAGAATCTCTTGAACCCCGGAGGCAGAGGTTGCAGTGAGCCGCAGTTGAACCACTGCACTCCAGCCTGGGCAACAGAGGGAGACTCTGTTTCAAAAAACAAACAAACAAACAAACAACAAACAACATAAAACAAACAAAAAACCCAACAAAACAAAACAAAAGACCAAAGACTGGAGATCCCTGGTTCCTTCCTCTCTGGAGGGAGAGTGGCAGGTAAATTTGCTGGGCACACTTTGCTTTGACCTGGAGCCAGCCGTGCCTTCTTTGTCCGCCTCCTTTCCCATGCCAGAGAGTCCAGCTGGGATCCTGAGTCTGGGTAGGGGGCTGGGAGGTGAGGGCTTTTTCTGACCCAGATCCTTGCTCCAAACCCCTGCCCACTCTTCCCCCAGCACTGGACACGTATGGCCAGCATCGGCAGTCACAACAGAGGCGTCCTGGCAACCCTTCTGCAGCCACAGCGCTTCCCAAGGCCTCTGCCACACCCGACCCGGGGACTTTCTTTCCACTTTCCCCATCAAAGCCACTTTTTTGTTTTTTTTTTTTGTTTTTTTTTTTTAGATAGAGTTTTGCTCTTGTCGTCCAGGCTGGAGTGTAATGGCACGATCTTGGCTCACTGCAACCTCCGCCTCCTGGAGGCGATTCTCCTGCCTCAGCCTCCCGCGTAGCTGGGATTACAGATGCCCGCCACCATACCTGGCTAATTTTTGTATTTTTAGTAGAGTCAGGTTTTCACCATGTTGGCCAGGCTGGTCTTGAATTCCTGATCTCAGGTGATCCACCCGCCTTGGCCTCCCAAAGTGCTGGGATTACAAGCGTGAGCCACTGTGCCCGGCCACATAACTTCAGATTTCATACATGGGAAGGTTACATGCCAGAGGACTTGAAGAAGAGTCTGCCATATAGTCATTGAGATAAGTGACTGAATTCATTTTTGTGATAGAATATTAATTTTTTTTTAAGAAATAGAGTCTCACTGTGTTGCCCATGCTGGCCTTGAACCCCTGGGCTCAAGTGATCCTCCTGACTCAGCCACAATAGTTCTCTTTTTTTTGAGATGGAGTTTCACTCTTGTTACCCAGCCTGGAGTGCAATGGCATGATCTTGGCTCACTGCAGCCTCCGCCTCCAGGGTTCAAGCGATTCTCCTCCCTCAGCCTCTTGAGTAGCTGGGATTACAGGCATGTGGCACCACGCCCAGCTAATTTTTTATATTTTTAGTAGAGACGGGGTTTCACCATGGTCAGGCTGGTCTCGAACTCCTGACCTCAGATGATCCACCCACCTGTGCCTACCAAAGTACTGGGATTACAGGTGTGAACACAATAGTTTCTAATTATTTTATTTAATGTATTTTGAGACAGGGTCTCACTCTGTCACACGGGCTGGACTGCAATGGGATGATCATGGCTTACTACAGCCTCAAACTTTTGGGCTCAAGGAATCCTGTTCAGCCTCCTGAGTAGCTGGGACTATAGGCATGCACCACCTTGCATGGCTAATTTATTTCATTTTATTCTTATTTTTATAGAGATGGGGTCTCCCTATTGTGCCCAGGCTGGTCAACTCCTAGGTTCAAGCCATTCTCCTGCCTCTGCCTCCCAAGGTGCTGAGATGACAGACGTGAGCCACTGTGCCCAGCCAATAGTTATTTTTTTAGTTCCCGTTATGTGTCATGCAAATGCTTTGCAGGAATAAATTGATTTAATCTTCATAGCAATGCTATGATCTAGGTACTATTGTTGTCCTTGTTTTTCAGATGAGGAAACTGAGGCACAGAGGTTAAGTTACAGCTAGTAAGTGGCAGTGCTCCCAACTACTATGCACACTGCCTCTCAGAGAATAAGGTTTATACTTGAAGTGGGGGAAAAGGGGCGTAATTTCTTTTTCTTTTTCTTTCTTTCTTTTTTTTTTTTTTTTTTTTGAGACGGAGTTTTGCTCTTGTTGCCCAGGCTGGAGTGCAATGGCACAATCTCAGCTCACTGCAACCTCCGTTTCCTGGGTTCAAATGATTCTCCTGCCTCAGCCTCCCTAGTAGCTGGGATTACAGGCATGCGTCACCACACCTGGCTAATTTTGTATTTTTAGTAGATACAGGGTTTCACTATGTTGGCTAGGCTGGTCTCGAACTCCTCGAACTCCTCCCAGAGTGCTGGGATTACAGGCGTGAGCCACTGTGCCCAGCCTCTTTACAAAGAGCAAGAAGGTGGTGTCCGCAAACTATAGATGGGTGGACTTAGCATCAGTCCTAGTCAAGTTCCAGAGTCAGCAGTTATTAAAGAGGAGGTGTGTGGGCACTTAGACAAGGAAGACGTGGACGATCCGCATCGGTGAGTAGGTTCCCTAAGAACTCACCCTACTAGGGGAAGCTTTTTGCTTTTCTGATTAGTTTTCTAGACTCAAAATTAGACCGGGGGTGGAGCAGGAGACTGCTTCTGAGTTTCAGCAAGCAATTGTTCTTTCTTCTTGTGGTCAGGTCCTTGCAGATGACACAGAGCCACATGGGCAGGGGGATGGGACAGCTAAGGAGGTTGGTGAGTGGACTGCCATCAGCTGAGTTCTATTCAGTGTGTTTAAAGGTGGTTTGATGAGGGAAGGTGTGACCAGTGTGCTGGCGACATTGCTGATGGCAGGAACCTGGGTACCATTCCAGCAAGCAAGATGGCAGAATTGGGACCCAAAGTGCCCTGGAAGCTGAATTCCAGGTCCAAGTCCAGTAGATACTATTCATTCATTCATTCGTTCATTTTAGCAAGGATGCTCACAGTAGACACTATTTATTTATTTATTTATTTATTTATTTATTTATTTATTTATTCTTTTTTGAGACAGTTTCACTCTTGTCGCCCAGGCTGGAGTGCAATGGTGCCATCTCAGCTCACTGCAACCTCCGCCTCCCGGGTTTAAGCAATTCTCCTGCCTCAGCCTCCCGAGTAGCTGGGATTACAGGTGCCCGCCACGATGCCCAACTAAGTTTTGTATTTTTAGTAGAGAAGGGGTTTCACCATGTTGGCCAGGCTGGTCTCAAACTCCTGCCCTCAGGTGATCTGCCTGCCTCGGCCTCCCAAAGTGCTGGGATTACAGGCATGAGCCATCGTGCCTGGCCAGGTAGTAGACACAATTTAACAGGGGTAAAGGATAAATGTATTTTGGTTTCTAATCCTGTTTGCACCTGGGCAGCAGGGTGAAGGAATCAGAATTGTCTGAAGGGTTCCCATGGAGTAGAAGCTTGGGTATGGCCCCATGTGTTAGGTGTCTACCAAAGAAAACGCTTACATTTTGAGGCTGCAAGAGCTCAGGGCAGAGTCCAGAGTGAGGGAAGAGAAGGTCCTGCTGTTCTGAGGCCAAGGCTCTATGAGGAATGTTCCTTTGCTTGTTCATTTATTTGGTGGGCATGGATTGAATGCCGTTCCTCTGCCAGACATTGTGCCAGGTGTCCCCCTTGAACAGCTGAGCAGTTGTATTTCTGGGTGATGGAACGGGCTGCTGATAGGACTATGGGACTATGGGCTGGTCACCCCTGCTATCGTTTTTTTTTTTTTTTTTTTGAGATGGAGTCTCGCTCTGTCACCCAGGCTGGAGTGCAGTAGTGCGATCTGCAATGTCCGACTCCCGGTTCAAGCGATTCTTCTGTCTCAGCCTCCTGAGTAGCTGGGACGACAGGCACTCCCCCACCATGCCTGGCTAATTTTTGTATTTTTAGTAGAGATAGGGGTCACCATGTTGGCAGGCTGGTCTCGAATTCCTGACCTCAGGTGATCCACCCACCTTGGCCTCCCAAAGTGCTGGGATTATAGGTGTGAGCTACCATGCCCAGCCAGCCACCACGCCCAGCCAGCCACCATACCTGGCCTCCCTGCTATCCTTTTTTTTTTTTTTTTTTCCCCAAGATGGAGTTTTGGTCTGTTGCCCAGGCTGGAGTGCAGTGATGCGATCTCAGCTCACTGCAACCTCCGCCTCCCAGATTCAAGCAATTCTCCTGCTTCAGCCTCCTGAGTAGCTGGGATTACAGGCATGCGCCAATATGCCCTGCTAAATTTTTTTTTTTTTTGTATTTTTAGTAGAGACAGTGGTTTCACCATGTTGACCAGGTTGGCCTTGAACTCCTGACCTTAAATGATCCACCCGCCTCAGCCTCCCAAAGCGCTAGGATTACAGGTGTGAGGCACCGCGCCCGGCCAGCCACCCTGCCCAGCCTCCCTGCTATCCTTTCTTTCTCCCACAACTATCCATTGTGATCCTGCTCTGGGTCAGGCCCTCAAGGAAGACCAGGGTACTGCCTCCATGGGCCACACATTCTAGTGGGAGAGACAGACGATAAACATGTAAACGCAGAGACAAGAGAATTTCCCAATATGACCAGCGTGCTGAAGAAACTCACACAGGGCATCGAGATCATGAGCAGCCAGTGGGTGTGTGGGGACTCTGGAAGAGGTGGAAGTCCTCTCCAAGAAAGTGACATGTGAGCTGAGTCCTGAAGGGCACAGGGGCGACCACATAAAGAAGCTGCTGGTGAGAGGTGTTAAGTGGGTGGTGGGGAGGGGGCACGGGGCATGGGGTGGAAGAGTCCTTCTGCAGGGGGAGCAGCAAGTGCAAGGCTGTTCTAGAAGCAGAAGGCCATTGTAGCTAGAGCAGAGTCATGATCCACAGGGTCAGGAGGCCATGACCCACAGACAGAAGCGAAAACTTCTGTGCAATTAAAGGAACGGCTTTCTAGCACTTAGAGCTGCCTGAGGATGGAGTGGGCTGCCCCGAGGGAGAGAACTTCCCATCACTAAGCCATAGTCAAAGGCCGCTGTCCACGGAGGTTACTGAGGATGAGACTCAAGCATCCCAAAGGTTGGCTAGAGGACCCTTCGTTCCTTCTACGCCTTCACGTTCAGGAGCATCCTTGGTTTGGCGGAAGCTGGGGGGATGTCTATGGAGTGCATGAATGAAAGTTCCAGGCCGAGCGCGGTGGCTCATGCCTGTCATCTCAGCACTTTGGGAGGCCGAGGCGGGTGGATCACCTAAGGCCAGGAGTTTGAGACCAGCCTGGCCAACATGGCGAAACCCCGTCTCTACTAAAAATACAAAAAGTAGCCGGGTATGGTGGCGGGTGCCTGTAATCCCAGCTACTCGGCAGGCTGAGGCACAAGAATCGCTTGAACCCGGGAGGCGGAGGTTGCAGTGAGCCGAGATCGCGCCACTGCACTCCAGCCTGGGGGACAGAGCAAGACTCTGTCTCATAAAAGTCCAGCCTCCAGATCCCAGGCAGCGGGGAGTTTCAGGGGTCTGAGCAGCCCTGGAGACTCGCAGCATAGCGTTCTGTACCCCGTCCCGGGTCCCGCGCAACGCAGAGCTAGAGGGAGCCCCAGAGTATCTTCCTCAGTAGATCAGGAGCCCCCAGGCCTCACCGCACCTCGGTTCCCCATTGCCCCCATTGCCCCCATTGCATCTTCCAGGAACCCCTGGCGGGCAGGCTGCTCCTTCTCTCCCCGGGTCCTCTGGGTGCACCTGCCCCGCCCCGCGCCTTTGTTCCGGAGGAGCCGCCTTGGGCAGCCCCCAGGGAGCTCAGGACCCGCTGTACCCCCTGCCACCGCCTCCCGGTGCCCGCCCCTCCGCCCCCTCTCCGCGGCTGCGCCAGGCGATCCGCAGGCAGCGGCACAGGGACCAGGGCGCGCCCCGGGTGGCGGAGGCGCGGCGAGGGCGGGAGCACGAGGACCCCGGACCCTGGATCGGCGCGGGCTCCGGCTGCGCGTGCGCGGCGGCGGCGGCGAGGGGCGCCAGGTGTGCGGGCGGTGGCGGCTGCGGAGGGCGCGGCTTTGTGCGCTGGGGCCGGCCGGGGTGCGCGCGTGCGCGGCAGGACTGCTGCGAGGGACCCCGCCGCCCCGGAGGAGGAGGAGGAGGAGGAGGAGGAGGAGGAGGGGGCTGGGCCGAGGGAGGGGGCGACCGCGGGGACTGAGGTGCCCTTCGCTCCGGGTCCAGAGGCAGCCGCGCGCCAGGCGGCGCAGAAGGTCAGTGGCCCCGGGGCTGGGATTCCGCAGCCAGCCTGGATCGGGACGTGAGTCCTGGTGTGACTGACGGGGAATCGGAGCGTGTGTGGAGTGTGAACGCGTGTGTTTGCAGACAGACATCGGCACGTATGGACGGCGCGAGCCGGTACTGCGTTCCGGAGGAGCCATCCGGCGTCACAGGCTGTGCTGGGGAGGTGGGGTGACCGTCCTCAGAAACCCCCGCGGGCGGGGCGCTGCACACACGTCCACCTATAGGGTGTGTGTGCGTGCGTGAGGTGTGCAGCCCCTGTCAGGATCTGGCGAGAGAAGCTGACCGGGATGGAGGTCAGAGGTAGGGTGTTTACAGGTGGTGGTAGAAGGAAAACAGCCAGGAACCCCAGGAGGACCCTGGAGCTAGGCTGGGCTTCCTGAAACCCCCCATCCCATCCTCGCTCCAGCCTGTGCCTATTGCAGGAAGAGGAGCTAGGGAGGTGGGCTGCCGGCTGAGAGGCCTTGAGGGATCTTTGGGAGCGGGGCCCGATTTCAGCCTGATCCTCATTTCCAGAGGCCTGGATGGGTGTGGGGGTGCCGGCCCTGAGTGGGGGGTCCAGGGCAGGCGTGTGTTCAGGAGACCTCAGGGGTCCGTGTAGACTGTCCTCTGGCTTTGCCAGCACCAGGTGCTGTGTGTCTGGACCTGGGAGCTGGCTGAGGGATACCCTTGCTTCCTCTCATTTGTTTTCTATAGCTCCCCCTACATGCTTGTTAACAAACCTGAAGGGCACTTGTATGCCAGTGGGGTTTGCTGGGATGTGCCCTGTTGAGGGGCTGTCATCAGAGAAGCCTCCATGGGGAATGAGAGAGTTGTCCTGAGCCAGGTGCCAGGGCTCTTGGGTTCTTTGCCTGCGTTGTGACCCTGGGGCCATCCCTCAAGCCCTATACGCCTCAGTTTCCCATGGCGCTTTGCCCTCCCCCTTCTTCCTGTTGCAGGGTGGGGAGTAAACAGCTTGCACAGCTGCCAGGAGGCTGGGAGGCTGGGAGGCGGGGAGGCTGGGAGGCTGGGAGGCGGGGAGGCTGGGAGGCTGGGAGGCGGGGAGGCTGGGAGGCTGGGAGGCGGGGAGTGACTCAGGGTCTGTGAGGTCTTGGGCAGCGATTTTTCAGGCGAAAGTCCCAGCACATCTTCTCGACTTGGGCAGGAGTTGGGGGAGGCTCTGCCCTCAGCTCCAAGCTGTGGTGCTGGGTTTTCTGAGTCCTGGGGTGGGGTGGGGTGGGCATCTGTTGGATTTGGCTGCTCAGGCTTCAAGAAGCTGCCTCTGGTCCCTCCTTCTTCCCAGATATCAAGTAGTTGGAGAGGGATGGGGCTGGGGGGCCTGGTAGCTGGGTGGGATGCGGGGGCGGGAGCTGAAGTGCTACAGCAGCCTCTCTTGGTTCCTGTGTTTGATGTTACTGGGCAGAGACAGATGCTAAGCTTGGGTAGGGTCGGGGCTGGTCTAAGTGGGACTGCTCAGCTCAGCATGTTGAGGCAATTTGGTGGGAGGTGGCCTCAGCTCCAGAGAAGAGGACCCTGCTGCTGGAGGCACGCTTGCAGCTCTCCTCACCCTCTTTCCCATGACCCTGTCTGATCAACTCTGGCTGAGCCACCATGGCTCAGAATGACTTGAGCCTTGAGGGAAAGGGACCCTGGCATGGATGGGGGTGGTGGCAGGGTCACATAGTGGCTAAGCATGAAGGCCCTGCTGTCACTCAGACCTGGGCGTAAGTCCCAGCTCCATCACCTACTGCTGTGGCCGCACCTGCATTCCCCTCAATGGGAGCCCGAGAGAAAGGCTTGCAGGCTGTGGCTTATTTGGGAAGCAATCTCAGGAAACAAGGGCGAGGACATGGGGTTTGAAGGAGAGGGAGGGGAAGCAACAATTTGATTATTCCCACCACTCTCCTGGGCGGTGTTCTGAGGAGCCTTACAGACAGAACTGCTCTGTTGGGGAGAGAAACAGGGAAGCACTTACCCATTAGCCCCATCCCCTGCCAGACAAGGGTGGCTCTGTGGACATTCGCTCCCGTGTGGACTTCCAGATTGCACATGTGTGGGGCTCAAGTGGTTCCCTGTGGGTACTCCACACGGCAGCTTCCAAGAAGGCCCAGCGTGGCCTGACATGAAGCACTGTCCCATTGCACCTGTAAGATGCTGCTTGGAGCCTGTGGGGACCTGGTCATTGCAGAAGTGTTTGGAGTGAGAGGTGGGGCCAAGAGGGCTGGAAGCAGCACACTGAGGTGCCTAACACTGCGTGACCTTGGCCAAATTACCTGACTTCTCTGAGCCTCGGTTTCCTTAGCTGGGTGTTTTAAGTGTTAATAAGGCATTTATTGAATTTTTGAACATGGTGATGGCCCCATAGCAAGGGCTTCACCCGGGGTATTTCTGTGTGGCCAGGAAGACCACATGCCCAGGGTGGCTCAGATAGTCATTCACTCAAGTGGAGGTGGGTCCGCATAAGAGGACCTCTAAAGACCCCTCCCGGTCATAGGACCTGGGGCTCAGGGGCCAGACTGCTGACCTGGTCAGTTCCTCTAGGGCTGTGGCCCAGTTTCCCAGACCTCCTGAATGCTTCCATTTCACAGCCTATGAATTGGAGTCAGCGATGTCCTGCTCCTGGGCTGGCCGCTCAGATATACCTCTTCCTGGGCTCTGCCTCAGGAGGACACAGAGGCCAGCACTGGGCAGAGGAGGGCGAGGGGAGAGGACAGCTCAGAAGCAGGTGCTTGAAGGAGGAGTGGAGGGAGGGTGGATGCTGGCATTTCTGGCATTGGGAGCTGGCATACGGTCATGGGCATGGGTCTGGGCCATAGTCAGTGGGGGAGGACAAGGCAGGGGGCTGGGGGGGGGCAGGAAAGGAAGGTGAGCGGGTTGGCAGAAGGTGGCCAAGAAGCATGGAAGAGACAGGGACAGGGAGTGGGTTGGGCAGCCTTGGCGTATGGGGATTCACAGCGTCTGGGGTGGTGGTAACCAAATGGGAGGGGGATGAGGTGGCAGGAAGGAAGGGAGGGCATTGGGTGAGGTCTAGCTGGGCCTTCCTAGGGCGTAAACTGGGGCAGTGTTCGTAGTTCGTGGTACAGCATCCACAAGCCTCCTCGTTCCTTTTTTTTGAGATGGAGTTTCGCTCTTGTTGTCCAGGCTGGAGTGCAGTGGCGCGATCTCGGCTCACCGCAACCTCCGCCTCCTGGGTTCAAGTGATTCTCCTGTCTCAGCCTCCCGAGTTGCTGGGATTACAGGCGTGCGCCACCACGTCCTACTAATTTTTGTATTTTCAGTAGGGACAGGGTTTCTCCATGTTGGTCAGGCTGGTCTCGAACTCCTGACCTCAGGTGATCCGCCCGCCCTGGCCTCCCAAAGTGCTGGGGTGACAGGCGGGAGCCGCCGCCTCTGGCAAAAGTCTCTTCATCCTTTTTTCCACGGTGTCCACCTGCCCCTCCCAGGCCACCGCCCCGTTTGACAGGGGAGGAGTTGTTTGCAAACAGTTCCTGTTATGAGCGGCGATTGGAGAAGGTCCACAGGTGCCTTTGCCAAGGCCTGTTGCCATGGTGGCATGGTGGGCCTTGTCTGCCTACCCTCTCCCATCTCTGAGCAATGTGCACCCCCCCCAGGAGAGGTCACAGAGTGGGGAAGGTGTCCAGCTGCCTCTTTGCTCACACATGGCCAGCTCAGGCTGGCCTTACAAAGGTCACTGCGTTCATCCCTCTGCCTGCAGGCAGGGTCACACCCAGCCTATGCTGGGAGACCCAGCAGCCGCCGTCTTCATTACAGCCATTTAAAGTCTACTCCGATCTCTGCAATTTGTTTTTAATAAGTTTAATGAAAAATAAAGCAATGATACTAGCCTATTCATCTGCTCCCCTTTTAAAGCGGGCATCTCATGGATGATACTCTTCTTGTCCACACCTCTCTCAGT
Source organism: Homo sapiens (assembly GCF_000001405.40). Classification (NCBI taxonomy): domain Eukaryota; kingdom Metazoa; phylum Chordata; class Mammalia; order Primates; family Hominidae; genus Homo; species Homo sapiens. The sequence goes on from NC_000017.11 coordinate 2,780,871, forward strand.
GCTTTGGTGCCTGTCCAGTAGGAAGTTCTGCCTCATGTCTGATCTCAGCCTGACATGCTGTACTGTTTTTGGGTGTGTTTTGTGTTTCTGATTTTCTATTTGTTGCAACCCTTCAGGGATTCCAGATGGTTCTAAGGGCATTCCTGTCTACCTGCTCATGATCTGGAGCAGTCGCAGGGGCACCCAAGGCAGGTGTGATGCCAACGATACAAGGCTGTGCCGAGCCCCTGGCCCCGGCCACGCTCTGGTTCTGGACTTTTGCAGCTTGCTCTCAGGGCCAGCTGGTTCCCACTCCTTTCCCTAGTTCAGATCCAGGATTACTGGCCTCCTTCTTGGACCATGCTGGGCCTGCTGGCTGCGCTCTGCCAGGTCTGGGTCAGCAAGCAGATGGCAGCAGGCATGGGCACTTGGGGGACTCTGGCACAGTCAGGGCCCTGCCGATTAGATGGCTGGTGGAGAGCAAGAGCAGGAGGGGAGAGACAGGGAGTGACAGGCAGTCGGGAACACTGAGGTGTGCCTGTGCATGTGGACACATCTGTGCTTGGTGTGCACGTGTGGCCTTGGAGGGCTTGTTGCTGGATTGCTGTGTCTGGACATCTCTGGGTGGTTATATGTGGTTCTTCTGAGCACACCCCTGTGTGTGCACCGTGTGAGCACGTCTCTGTGTGAGCACGTCTCTGTGTGTGCACGTCTCTGTGTGTGCAGGTCTCTGTGTGGGCACGTCTCTGTGTGTGCAGGTCTCTGTGTGAGCACGTCTCTGTGTGAGCACGTCTCTGTGTGTGCAGGTCTCTGTGTGGGCACGTCTCTGTGTGTGCAGGTCTCTGTGTGTGCACGTCTCTGTGTGAGCACGTCTCTGTGTGTGCACGTCTCTGTGTGAGTACGTCTCTGTGTGTGCACGTCTGTGTGTGCACGTTTCTGTGTGTGCACGTCTGTGTGTGCACGTCTCTGTGTGTGCAGGTCTCTGTGTGGGCACGTCTCTGTGTGGGCAGGTCTCTGTGTGTGCACGTCTCTGTGTGTGCACGTCTCTGTGTGTGCAGGTCTCTGTGTGGGCACGTCTCTGTGTGGGCAGGTCTCTGTGTGTGCATGTCTCTGTGTGTGCACTGTTGTGTGCTCTGGGTTGTTCATGGGTACTTTCTCTGGATATGTGTGCCAGCCACCTACTGGGTGTCTCCAGGGTTCTCAAGAGTGTGCCCATCTGGATGGCAGGTGATACTTTTTCCCTGCAGGATTTCCTGCCCCCACGGAGGCTCCCTTGAGTCTTCTGCCATGCCCCATCCCGCCCTCTCTCCAGGCTTCCTTATCCTGTTTCTCCCTCTGTCTGAGGAAGTTGCTTCTCCCCCTCTGGCTGTGTGGGCGTCCACTGCCTTCTGGGCAGGGCCTGAAGAGGGACGGCAAGTCCAGCCTCCAGCCCCATCCTCCCGAGCTCTGAGCTGAGGGTGATGGGCTCAAGCTCTGAGTTGAGGAGATGAGTCAGGGATGGCTGCAGGGGGTGGGCAGAAGTGGCCTGTGTGTCAGCATGCTGTAGGGAAGTGTGTGCTCTTGCCCCCCTCCACCTGACCCGCCCTCAGTGGCTTGGGCACCAGTGCAGCTGTGATGAGGCTCCCTTACCTTCATACTCTTCCCCAGTAGCCTTGGTTGGCACAGTTTCTGATGGGGAGCAGAGTGGTCTCTGGGGCTCCGGGCATCCAATGGGGGCCTTGGCCTTAGCATAATTTATCTCACCATAATCACTGGTACTAATGGAGCTCTTCCTGCACCAGGCCCTGGACTACACACTGTACATGTAATCAGCTCATTTACTCCTCAGAACAATCCCATCCCAGGGGATAGTAGGTCCTATTAGGTGGGTTCGAAAACATCCCTGGCCAGGCGCGGTGGCCCATGCCTGTAATCCCAGCACTCTGGGAGGCCAAGGTGAGTGGATCATCTGAGGTCAGGAGTTCGTGACCAGCCTGGCCAACATGGTGAAACCCCGTCTCTACTAAAAATACAAAAAATTACCCGGGTGTGGTGGTGAGCACCTGTAATCCCAGCTACTTTGGAGGCTGAGGCAGGAGAATCTCTTGAACCTGGGAGGTGGAGGCTGCAGTGAGCCCAGATCGTGCCCCTGCACTCCAGCCTGGGTGACAGAGTAAGACTCCGTCTCAAAACAAACAAACCATCCCCATTTTATGAGGAAGTTTTCCCATTTTATGAGGAAGTAGAGGCTCAGAGAGCCTGGGTTACTTCCACAAGGTCACACAGCTAGTAAGTGATGGAGCCGGGTTCTGAACCCAGACCCGTTCTTCTGCTGTTCCCTCCGCTCTTCACAAAGCTGTGAAGCTGTGTCCGTCTCGTCTTGGCAGTCTCCCTCTCAGAGAGGCCATCCCAGATCACCCCCTCTACACAGGACTCCCTAGCCATCTGGTCCCATTTGGATCGGATCACCCTATTGTAAATACCTGCATAAAGGTAGCCCTCATTTATCCTCTACTTCCTAACCCCCTCTTCCCCACCTAGAGCAGGGACCTGTCTGTCTTGCTTACTAAAATATTCTTAGAACTGGAAGACAGCTTGGAACACAGTAGGGATGCAATAAACATTTGATGAATGAATGAATTAATGAATGAAGAGAGGACTGACTCCAGACCTAAGCTTGAAATCCCTCCTATATACTGTCTCTTACACAACAGGGACTGTTGCAGAGTGGCAGGAGCACAGGCTCTGGAGCCAGCTTGCTTGGTTCAAATTCTGGTCCTGCCAGTGTTCTGGTTATCTAATGCTGCTTAATAAACCACCCAAAGCTTATGGCTTAAAACACTGGTGACACTGATTTTGCCCATGAATCTGCAACATGGGCAGGGTTCAGTGGGGATAACGCTTCTCCACTCAGCATTGTCTGGAGTGTTTCAAGGTCTAGGGGCTGAAGCCATCTGAAGGCTTAGTCGCTCACACGTCTGGCGTTTCTTGCTGGCTGTTGGCTTTGGGTCAGTTCCTCTGCACATGGGCCTCTCTATGTGCTGTCTCCACATGCTAGATTGGGCTTCCTCCCAGCATGGTGGCTGAGCTAAGGGACAAGCATGCCCAGAAAGAGAGCCAGGTGGAAGCTATTTCACTTTTTATTTTATTTGTTTATTTATTGAGATGGAGTCTTGCTCTGTTGCCCAGGGTGGAATGCAGTGGCGCAATCTCGGCTCACTGCAACCTCTACCTCCCGGGTTTAAGTGATTCTCTTGTCTCAGCCTCCCAAGTAGCTGAGACTACAGGTCCATGCCACCACGCCAGGCTAATTTTTTGTATTTTTAGTAGAGACGAGGGTTTCACTGTGTTAGCCAGGATGGTCTCGAATTCCTGACCTTGTGATCTGTCCTCCTCGGCCTCCCAAAGTGCTGGGATTACAGGCGTGAGCCACCACGCCTGGCCTATTTTTATTTATTTAGAGACAGAGTCTCGCTCTGTCGCCCAGGCTGGAGTACAGTGGCGTGATCTCGGCTCACTGCGACCTCCATCTCCCGGACTCAAGCGATTCTCCTGCCTCAGCCTCCCAAATAGCTGGGACTACAGGTGCCTGCCATGACACCTGGCTAATTTTTGTATTTTTAGTAGAGACAGGGTCTTGCCATGTTAGCCAGGCTGGTCTTGAACTCCTGACCTCAAGTGATCCGCCCGACTCGGCATCCCAAAGTGCTGGGATTACAGGCGTGAGCCACCGCGCCCGGCCAGCAGTTTATTCTTTTAGCAGCAGCTACACTTTTGCTCACTGATCCCCTGGCCACAGGTGAGGCTTGGGTCTGTCCCCAGATCCCCGCCTACTCTCATGTAGTCCAGGAGGCATCTTACTGTGCAGAGCCCTGCTGAGGGTGGGGCCCGTAATGAGAGAAGGGGGAACTTGAATGGGAAAGGCCTTTTCTGTCCCAGTTTATTATCTCATTACAGGTCAGCCCTGCTCCCTTCAAGGGGCCTGGGACACATGTTGCTGATGGAGATACCATGAGGGTGGGGCTCAGGCAGAATTGCTCTGGGCTTGGGGCTGGGATGAACCCCACCAGACCCCCATCTTTATCCAGGAAAAATCAAGATGGTGAGGCCTGAACATGCTGTGTTTGAGCTGAGGGAGCTCTCCGCTTCTCCCTGTCCCTGCCGCCTGCTTCCACCTGAGTCACTGTTCATCTGCCTGCGGCATCATCCCCCTGCGGCATCATCCCCCTGCCTCGCTTGCTGGCCTCAGGGAGGAATCTCAGGGTTTGCTCCTTGTGGCCCAGGTTAGGGCTGCTCCTGAGCAGAGCGTTGGCAGGGGGCCCAGGAAGAATCTGGGGGTTTGCACGAGCCCAGCCTGGCAGTGTCTCCCATCTAACGCAGCCCTCATTTAGGGCCTGCTCTCCTCTGAGCCTTCCCTGAAGGAATGGCAGAAGGGCTCAAAGGGGGACTCTGGGTTTGAATTCTGTCACCTTCCAGCCCTGTTAAGGAAGGAGACCACTGCTCCTCCTGCTGCCCTCCTGCCCCCACCTTGCCTAGTTCACAAGATAGGAGGAGAGAAAAAGCAAAAAGTTGGAAAAAAAAAAAAAGTAAGATAAATAGCCAGACAACCTTGGCACCACCACCCGGCCCTAGGAGTTAAAAAAAGTGATAATTATAACATCAACCCCTGACCTAAACTACTTTTGTTATCTGTAAATTCCAGACACTGTATGAAAAAAGCATTGTGAAACTTTTTGTTCTGTTAGCTGATGCATGTAGCTCCCAGTCACATTTCCCACGCTTGCTTGATGTATCACGACCTTTTCACGTGGACCCCTTTAAGTTGTAAGCCTTTAAAAAGGCCAAGAATTTCTTTTTCGGGAAGCTCGGTTCTTAAGACGCGAGTCTGCCGATGCTCCCGGCCGAATAAAAACCTCTTCCTTCTTTAATCCGGTGTCTGAGGAGTTTTGTCTGTGGCTCGTCCTGCTACACTGTGACCTTGGACGAGTCTCTTAACCTCTCTGAGGCTCCAGTTACTTACCAGGAGGGAGACTGTGGTATGGTAAAGATGAAAGGAAGTAAAAAGTATGACTTTTTTTTTTTTTTTTTTTTAGACAGAGATTTGCTCTTGTTGCCCAGGCTGGAGTGCAGTGGTCAGATCTCGGCTCACCGCAACCTCCACCTCCCGGGTTCAAGCGATTCTCCTGCCTCAGCCTCCTGCGTAGCTGGGATTACAGGCATGTGCCACCATGCCTGGCTAATTTTGTATTTTTAGGAGAGACGGGGTTTCACCATGTTGGCCAGGCTGATCTCGAACTCCTGACCTCAGGTGATCCGTCCGCCTCGGCCTCCCACAGTGCTGGGATTACAGGCGTGAGCCACCGCGCCCAGCCTGGAGTTATTCTTTACAGATGAAAAACCTGAGGCAGAGGGAGTTTAAGTGGTTTCCTCACAGCTACATTTAATGTCAGGACTGGGGCTGGAATCCGTGTGTTCTGACACCAGGTGGTGGTTGCTTATCTTTTGCAGGAGGAGGATTTCCCCCTCCCTTCAACCCCTTCCGCCAGAGGGCAACATGGCTGCCATCCTAGAAACAAGCCCAGGAAGACGCTCCCTTTCCTCCTCGCACCACCCAAGCTTGCCTGCAGAGGGCGCAAACGCCCACCTTCTGGCCGGTCCTGGGAGGCGCCAGGTGCCCCGCCTTAGCAGGGGAGGGCGGGAGTGACCCAGCTGGGTGGGTGTGGGCAGAGTTGGCTGTGTGTTCTCCTTTAGTGAGAAGCTCCTTCAGACAGCCCCCACGGTCCAAGCCTTTCTTTTCTTTTTTTTTCTTCAATTTTTTTTTTTTTTAATGTTTTGCGATGGAGTCTCACTCTGTTGCCCAGGCTGGAGTGCAGTGGCGTGGTCTCGGGCTCACTGCACCCTCTGCCTCCCGGATTCAAGCGACTCTCCTGCCCCAGTCTCCTGAGTAGCTGGGATTACAGGCAGGTGCCACCATGCCCGGCTAATTTTTGTAGTGTTTAGTAGAGACGGGGTTTCACCATCTTGGCAGGGCTGGTCTCAAACTCCTGACCTCAAGTGATCCACCCACCTTGGCTTCCCAAACTGCTGGGATTACAGGCGTGAGCCATCGCTCCCAGCCTTTTTTTTTTTTTTTTTTTTTTTGAGATGGAGTCTCGCTCTGTCCCCAGGCTGGTGCGCAGGGGCGCGATCTCTGCTCACTGCAACCTCCGCTTCCCGGGTTCAAGCCATTCTCCTGCCCCAGCCTCCCAAATAGCTGGGGTTATAGGCGCATGCCACCATACCTGGCTAGTTTTGTAGTTTTTAGTAGAGACAGGGTTTTACCATGTTGGCCAGGCTGGTCTCGAACTCCTGACCTCAAGTGATCCACCCCACCATGGCCTCCAAAGTGCTGGGATTACAGGTGTGAGCCACCATGCCCAGCTTTGGTTTTTTTTTTTTTTTCTTTTTTTTTTTCGAGACAGAGTCTTGCTTTTTGGCCACACTGGAGTGCAGTGGTCTTTACTGCAGCCCCAACCTCCTGGGCTCAAGTGATCCTTCCACATCAGCCTTCTAGGTAGCTGGGAATACAGGTGCACAGCACCATGCCTGGCTAATTTAAAAAAATTTTTGTACAGATGGGGTCTTACTATGTTGCTGGGACTGGTCACAAACTCCTGGGCTCAAGCAATCCCCCTGCCTTGGCCTCCCAAAGTGCTAGGATGACAGGTGTGAGTCACCACACGCTGAGCCTGTTTTTTTGTTTTGTTTTGTTTTTTTTGAGATGGAGTCTTGCTCTGTCGCCCAGGCTGGAGTGCAGTGGCGCCATCTCAGCTCACTGCAAGCTGCCTCTCCCAGGTTCACGCAATTCTCCTGCCTCAGCCTCCCGAGTAGCTGGGAATACAGGCGCATGCCGCCACACCTGGCTAAGTTTTTGTATTTTCAGTAGAGATGGGGTTTCACCATGTTGGCCAGGATGGTTTCAATCTCCTGACCTCGTGATCTGCCCGCCTCGGCCTCCCAAAGTACTGGGATTACAGGCATGAGCCACCGCGCCCAGCCTGTGCCTGTTTTTTAAAACTTGAACTTTTAGCATATCTTCATATATTAACATATATTAAGTGCTACCTCGTTATTTTCAGTGGCTAGATAGTATTCCATTGTACGCTTATTCTGCAATGTAGTTAATCCTCAGTTGATGATCATTTAGATTATTTTTTGAATTTGCTATTATAATGATATGATTAACATCTGTATACATAGATCTTGTCAAGTGGTATGAGTTAACCTGTGCAATAAATTTCTAAAAACAAAATTGTTGGCATAAAGGGTATGTGCACTTAAACAATTTTGATAGAGTGTATTAGTCAGGGCTTTGCAGAGAAATAGAACTAATAGGAAATATATACATATGTATATAGGGGTGTGTGTGTATGTGTGTGTGTGTTTAGATTTATTATGAGGGATTGGTTCATGCAATTTTGTGGGGTTTTTTTGTTTGTTTGCTTTGAGATAGAGACTGGCTCTGTTGCCCAGGCAGGAGTGCAGTGGCACAATCTCAGCTCACTGCAACCTCTACCTCCCTGATTCAAGCAGTTCTCCTGCCTCAGCCTCCTGAGTAGCTGGGATTACAGGTGCCCGCCACCATGCCCAGATTTTTTTTTGTATTTTTAGTAGAGACGTGGGTTTCACCATGTTGATCACACTGGTCTCGAACTCCTGACCTCAAGTGATCCACCTGCCTTGGCCTCCCAAAGTGCTGGGATTACTGAGCCCCAGCCAGGCATGAGCCACTGCACCCCATCAGGTTAATGCAATTTTGGAGGCCGAGAAGTCCCATGATTTGCCGTCTATTAGCTGGGGATCCAGGAAAGCTGGTGGTATGTTCTAGTCCAAGTCCTAAGGCACAAGAACGAGGAGCGTTGATAGCTGAGGGCAGGAGAAGGCGGGTTCTCAGCTCAGGCAGAGAATGAACTCTCCTTTCCTCCACATTTTTCGTCTATTCAAGCTCTCAGTGGATTGGTTGATGCCGGCCCACATTGGTAAAGCGGCATCTTCTTTACTTAGTCTACCAATTCAAAGGCTAATCTCTTCCAGAAACAACTCACAGACATACCCAGAAATAATATTTCAACAGCTATGGAGATATCCCCTAGCCCAGTCAAATTGACACATAAATTTAACCAGCACAGAGATATTGCCCAATAGCTACACATTAATGGGACGCCCGTTTCCTTATACCTTTACACAATTATCAATTTTTTCTTTTTGAGATGGGGTCTGGGCTCTGTCACTCAGGCTGGAGTGCAGTGGCCCAATCATGGCTCTGCTTCCTGGGCTCAAGTGATCCTCCCACCTCAGCCTCCCAAGTAGCTGGGACTACAGGTGCCTGCCATCATGCCCCACTAATTTTTGTATTTTTTGTAGACATGGGGGTTCCACCATGTTGCCCACACTGGTCTCGAACTCCTGAGCTCAGGTGATCCACCCGCCTTGTCCTCCCAAAGTGCTGGGATTACAGGTGTGAGCCACCGTGGCCGGCATTATCAAATTTTTAAAACTTTATCTGATGGGTAAAAGTGATACCTTGTTATTATTTAAAATTTTTAACTGTAGTAAACTTCGTAGCTTCTTTAGTTCAGAGCCATGTGTGGCTAAAACTCTCTTGGCAGATGGACCTTACTGAACAGATAAGAATAAACTGCAATAATTTTGGGAAACTGAGGCGGGCAGATCACCTGAGGTCAGGAGTTCAAGACCAGCCTGGCCAACATGGTGAAACGACTCACAGACAGTCTCTACTAAAAAAAAAAAAAAAAAAAAAAACATTAGCCAGGCATGGTGGCGTGTACTGGTAGTCCTAGCTACTCTGGAGGCTGAGGCAGGAGAATTGCTTGAACCTGGGAGGCAGAGACTGCAGTGAGCCGAGATTGCACCAGTGCACTCCAGCTTGGGCGACAGAGTGAGACTCCATCTGAAAAAAAAAAAAAAAAAAAAAGTAAATAAATAAATTGTGCAATTGTGGTATATGTCTGGGCCCTGCTCTTGGAACTCAGTTTTTACAAGCCCTCCCTTTGCAATCTGCCATCATCTTGCTTTTCAGCACTTGTGCAATGGGAAATTTAGTCTGGACCTTGAGATAGTGCAGGTGGGCAGTGATCTGTGGACTGTAAATCACTATGCAGATGCTAGGTGCTGTTTTTATCTTGACCCTGAGGCGTGAATTCTTCACTAATGTGGGGTTGCTGGCCCTGAATGCCCACTGTGCCCTGTTTCCCTGGAGACCAGCATCTTTCTCCATCATCCTTTTTTTTTTTTGGTGGTTTTGAGATGGAGTCTCCCTCTGTCACCAGGCTGGAGTGCAGCGGCATGATCTCAGCTCACTGCAACCTCCACCTCCTGGGTTCAAGCAATTCTCCCGCCTCAGCCTCCCGAGTAGCTGGGATTACAGGCATGAGCCACTACACCCAGCTAATTTTGTATTTTTAGTAGAGACGGGGTTTCTCCATGTTGGTCAGGCTGGTCTCAAACTCCCGACCTCAGGTGATCCACCCGCCTTGGCAGGTGTAATCCCAAAGCGCTGGGATTACAGGCGTGAGCCACCGCACCCGACCTCTCTATCACCCTTTATCTTCATATGGTTTATGAAGGAAGCAGAGGCCAGTCTAAGTCTCCCCTTGGATGACTAGTAGGCTGAAGTCTCAAAAGAGTAGGTCACCTGCCCCCAGTGACTTAGAGGTGGATCTGGGATGAGAGCTGAGCTCCAGGGGGTTAGTACTGGGGCTGGAATGGGTACTACTGTCTGGATGGGGGAGGATCTGGGTCAGACCACCTAGTGCCTGCTTCACTCGGGACATCTGTTTCCTGAGCTTCCTGTAACTGCCTCATCCCCATGCCTGGGGAAGGAGCTTGTCTCATCTTTCAGCTCCCACTGGTGGCTATGAGGTCTGAGCTGCTCGAGCAGAGGAAACCACATTGTCCCTTCCTCCCGTCCTGCCCCGAGGGCCAGGGGACACAGTGGAGGGGCTGCTGCTGACAGGAGCCTGAACTGCCCCCTCCTCTGAGCCCAGCCAGCTTTCTTGGCTCTACCTGCCTCAAAAGCCCGTAGAGGCCGGGCGCTGCGAGCGCCGTGGCTCACGCCTGTAATCCCAGCACTTTGGGAGGCTGAGGTGGACGGATCTTTTGAGGTCATGAGTTCGAGACCATCCAGGCCAACATGGCAAAACCCCATCTCCACTAAAAGTACAAAAATTAGCCAGGTGTGGTGGCAGGTGCCTGTAATCCCAGCTACTCTGGAGGCAGAGGCAGGAGAATCACTTGAACCTGGGAGGCGGAGGTTGCAGTGAGCTGAGATAGTGCCACTGCACTCCAGCCTGGGTGACAGAACGAGCCCCCTTCTCTAAAAAAGAAAAAAAAATGCCCATCGAACTGGGTGAGTTCCCTGGAGCTCTGCCCTGGGGTTGGGACTCTGGCTGGGACTTTGCCCCAGGCTGGTCCCCGAGAAACACCTACAGCCCTTGTGAACTGTGACCCACAGCAGGCTCTGGGAAGCGTTTTGAGCCTGAGAGAGAAGGAGCCCGTCCAGCCAGGCATTGGGGGTAGCTGGGTACTTGCTCTTTCCATCTTCATTATTCTCTCCCCAGTGATGAGCTGAGTTTTGCTTTAGGACCTTACTTTTCCTGTCTGTAACATGGGCACTGATGCACTGTGCATTTCTGTGGATCCAGAATTAGTGGGGCTGATAATCATCAAGCTGGGTTAATTTGGTTGGATTCCTTCACTTCCCTGAGCCTCAGTGTTCCTATCTGTAAAATGGGATAACAGGGCACCCTCTCAGAGGGGTTGTGAGGCTGAAAAGCTAAGCGCTTTGGTCCGCGCTGGCCCACAGGAGACTCACAGATGCCGGTGCTGCCCTGGCTCTCTTGTGCCCGCAGCTCATCCTCCTCTCCCCGCTGGCTGCTGAGAGTCAGCTGAGCTCTGGGAGGAAGCTGGGCTGTGCTTGATGGGGCCAGGAGGGCTGGGCCTGCTTCACAGACCGCTTCCCTTTTCTCTCTTTTTTTTTTTTTTTTTTTTGAGATGGAGTCTCACTCTGTCACCCAGGCTGGAGTGCAATGTCACGGTCTTGGCTCACTGAAACCTCCGCCTCCCAGGCTCAAACGATTCTCCTGCCTCAGCCTTCCGAGGAGCTGTGATTACAGGTGCCCGCCACCATGCCTGGCTAATTTTTGTGTTTTTAGTAGAGGTGGGGTTTCACCATGTTGGCCAGGCTGGTCTTGAACTCCTGACCTCAGGTGATCCGCTTGCCTCGGCTTCCCAAAGTGCTGGGATTACAGGCGTGAGACAGTGCGCCTGGCCGCTTCCCTTGTCTCTTGACTCACAATCCTTCCCAGGGAGCCCACAGTCTCCTTGCTGTGCACGGCACATGGAAGAGGAATCACAGGGTCAGAGCAGGGGGTCAAGAAGCTGCGCGGGACTGAAGCAGGGACAGAATCGTCCTTGACAGTAATGATAGCAGCTCCCGTGACGGCCTTGGAGCCCCGTGCTCAGTGTTTCTGTTTGCTGATAAACTCGTGAAGGTGGTGGCAGCCTCCCCAAATTACAGAAGAGAAAACTGAGGCCTGGAGAGATTAGGTAACTTGCCCAAGGTCGCTGGGCCCCAAGGAAGGAGAGGAAGGCAGCGTGGGAAAGGCCCTAGGAAGACTCTCACACCCTGCAGGGCTCATGATGGGCCATGAGCCGTCTGGGAGAGTCCCTTCCCCCTTTCCAGCCCTCAGTCTGGGGACGTGTGGGCCCCTGGATCCTCCTGGTTTCTCCAAGGTTCCTGGATCCCAGCGGCATCGAAGAAGTCCAGGCTGTGGGTTCTGCAGGGCCGGCAGCCGGGCCAGTCCTGCTCCTTGGCCGGGTGTCTGACTCAGGAGTGTTGTTTGTGGCTGTCAGGGGCACACCCCCCGGTGGGGGAAACCAGCCTCAGGGTGGCAGCAGCGGAGGCCTCGAAACGCACCCCTTCCCTGTCTCCAGGCTGCCGTTCAGATGTCTGTGCCTGGGCCGGAGTCTGTCCCGGCTCTGGGAACACTTGGTCCAGGTGTTCATAGCTGGGCATTTACCTGGCTGTCTCCATAGACCGGGAGGCCCCAGATAAAAGCATCTGTCAGCTTTGTCTTCCCCTAGAATGCATGCGGCGGGCAGCTTTCACATGTGGTCAGTGTGGGTGGTGAGGCGTGCCCAAGTGTGATGTGACTATCACCCCGCTTCTCTCTCATGTATGAAAGCGCATCAACGTATACTCCAAAGATGGGCCTGTCATTAACTCCCTCTAACTGATTTTTTAAAAAAGTAATTTGCAACAGGATTTTTTTTTTTTTTTTTGAGATAGAGTTTCGCTCTTGTCGCCCAGGCTGGAGTGCAGTGGCGTGATCTTGGCTCACTGCAACCTCTGCCTCCCAGGTTCAAGCGATTCTCCTGTCTCAGCCTCCTGAGTAGCTGGGAATACAGGCATGTGCCACGACGCCCGGCTAATTTTTGTACTTTTAGTAAAGACAGGGTTTCACCATGTTGGCCAGGCTGGTCTCGAACTCCTGACCTCAGGTGATCTCCCTGCCTCGGTCTCCCAAAGTGTTGGGATTACAGGCGTGAACCACTGCACCCGGCCTGCAACAGGAATTCTTGCAACGTATGCAACACCTCCAACCCCAGCACCTCCCAACTGAGGCTGTGGGCTGTACCTGGCTCACCCTGGTGCTTTCTGCACCCAGCATGGTGCTTGGCCTAGAGCAGGTGTTGCTGTCAGCGGCGGGAGGCCAGGTGGGCTGACTGTTCCCACTTTCACTTGTTCACTTGTCAAGCTCTTTTCTTTAGTTGGGACTTTATTAATGGAGAATGAAAGAAATCCAACTCATACTGGCTTTAGGAATAACTCTTTATTCGTACGGCTGGCTCTCCTATACCCGGGGTCAGCTGGTTCCTGGCACAGCCGGATCCTGGAGCTCAGATGATGCCCTTGAGACTCAATCTTTTGGCCGGGTGTGGTGGCTCCCGCCTGGAATCCCAGCACTTTGGGAGGCTGAGACGGGTGGATCACCGGAGGTCAGGAGTTCGAGACTAGCCTGGCCAACATGGTGAAACCCTGTCTCTACTAAAAACACAAAAATTAGCTGGGCGTGGTGGCGGGCGCCTGTAAACAGATATGTGGGAGGCTGAGGCAGGGGAATCACTTGAACCAGGGAGGTGGAGGTTGCAGTGAGCCGTGCCACTGCACTCCAGCCTGGGTGACAGAGCGAGACTCTTCAAAAAAAAAAAAAAAAAAGACATGATCTTTCTCCTCTTTCCCTTTCTCTGTCAGTTCTCTTCTCTGCCTTCCTGTGAGTCGGTTTCATTTTCCCCACACTCTCCACAGCCCCAGGCTTTCATCTCATGCTTCAGCAGGGGAAGCCTCTTGGGATGGTGTCTTGTTGGGTTTACTTAGGTCTCCTGAACCAGTCCCCTTGGCTGGCCAGGCCTGGTCAGGTGCCCACTCCTGACCCTGGAGGTGGATTGAGTGCAGAGGGTTCTTCTCAGATGGAGGCAGGGCAGGCAGGACCCAAGTTGTCCACGGTACCTGTTGAGCACTTCCTGGGTGTGGGTGGGTGCCTCTGGGGAGAGAGGCGCTTGTGGCACTCTGCAGTGGCCATCCTGTGGGAAGCCAGCAGCCTGAAGCCACCCCAGAGCATGAACCACACAATCCTAACTTTCCTGGGGCAGAGGTGAGGGTTGGGGGAAGCCTCCGGGCTCCTGCTGGGGACTAGCTGCCTTGGAGGTAGAGAGTCAGCCCCCAGCCCTGCTCTGGCCCAGGACCCTGAAGCTGCTCCCCCAGCCCACTCAGGGCTTGAGGCCCCTGTGCTGTCCCCTGCTGTGAAGGAGTCAAGAAAATAGAAATCCTTGTACCCTTCGTCCACAAGCTGGGGTTGGCCCCTGGCACCTCAGCACGGAGTCTAGGACCTTCACAGTGGCAGCAGGTGCCAGAGAGGAAATTTCAGGGAGGGTTGGCCAGAGAGAGAGGCCAATGGCACCAGCTAGGGCCGTTTTTTTCCTTTTTTTTTTTTTTTTTTTTTTTGAGATGGAGTTTTGCTCTTTGTTGCACAGGCTGGAGTACAACAGCATGATCTTGGCTCACTGCAACCTCTGCCTCCCAGGTTCAAACGATTCTCCTGCCTCAGCCTCCAGAGTAGCTGGGATTATAGGTACCTGCCATCATGCCTGGCTCATTTTTGTATTTTTAGTAGAGATGGGGTTTCACCATGTTGGCCAGGCTGGTCTCGAACTCCTGACCTCAGGTGATCCACCCGCGTTGGCCTCCCAAAGTGCTGGGATTACAGGTGTGAGCCGCCACACCCGGCCTTTCTTCTTCTTCTTTTTTTTTTTTTGAGACGTTTTCTTCCCTTTCTCCACTGCTTGGGGGTAGGGTGGGGCCTGGGGCCCTATCTGTGCCCACTCCCCCCAGTGTCTGTTGTAGTGTACGTGCCACATCCCTTTGAGGGGCTGCCATTAGTAAGTGCCTGCTGTGTACCAGGTGTGGTCAGCACCAGTGCGTGCAGAGATGAGCACTGGCCCTGTGGTGTGCAGACTGGGATGCGTGCAGGACACGCTAGCCCTGTGGCATGAGGACCAGCACCTGAGCATGCAGAGATGAGGACGAACCCTGCGGTTCAGCTGGGAAGACAAATCCACCCGCACATGGGTACCGCCCCCCCACCCCACACAGCCAGCGTGAAGCATGCCACTGCTCTGACCTCTGTCTAGACACTTGGCGGCGGGGGTGGGGGGCGGCTGACAGGTACAGCTCTGTGCCCATGTGTGTGTACATGCGAATGCCCCTTGCAGTGTGATGTGGTCTGAGTATGTGGATGAGTGCCTGCGGGCACATGTGTATGCGTTCATGTCTGTGCACGTGTCCAATGGGGCTTTGTCAGTATGTGAGAAGCGTGTGCAGGTGTGTCTACTGATGCCTGTGTGAAGTGGTGTGTGGATGTGCACGGGAGCGTGTGTGCCGCGCTGTGCTCAGGTGTGTACAGGTGTCTAATGATACGTATGTCTGCGTGCATGTATCTGTGTGTACCTGGGTATCCTGGGCGTGTGTGTGTCCATGTGTGCATCCCACGTGCCCCTGTGCCCATGCGTGTGCATGTATACTTACATCCACGTGTGCTAGTGGAATGACATGTGTGTGGCTGGTTCCTCTGGCGTGTGCCGAGCCATGGTGGGGCAGGCAGGCAAAGGTCCCTGTCTCAGGCAGCCCTCGGGAGTGGGTGTGAAGGTCCCCAGTGCTCAGGCGTCCCTGAGGCTTCCAGCTGAATCTTTCTGTCCCTCCTAGGCGTGGCTGTGGGAATCCTTGGGGCGCCTTTGGGTTCCAGGAAGCTGGGGCTGTGTGGGCCGGGCTGCTAACTGGGGCTGTGGAGCAATCTGCCAGCCGAGCCCCTTCCGGAGCTGTGGGTTCCTCTGGGTGTGGGGAAGCTGCCCTCCACAACCTCCTCGGCCTATCTTGGTGCCTCCTGGAGTGCAGGACACACCTCCCAGCTCTGCAGCCTCACCCACAGGAAGCTCGGGTTGGGGGCAGGCGAAGAGGGAGGTGCCACGCTGGGCTCCCCGCCCTGCACCGGCACTGACCCCGCTGTACCACGGCCCTCTTGCGGACAGCCCCGGGGACGTCGTTGGGACATCGCTGGGACCCCGGGCTCTGCAGCCACAACCATGTTTGGCCGGAAGCGCAGTGTCTCCTTTGGGGGCTTCGGATGGTGGGTGACAGGTGGGAGGGTGGGGGAATGATGGGAGAGAACTTAGAAGTGAAGTCTTGTTAAGTGCATTGGCGGCCGTGGGAACAGAGGGGCTCGGGCTGTGCCTGAGAGCTGGGTCTGCTGACGCCCTGGCAGGTCGAGATGCAGGATCCTGGTGGGGACATCAGAGACCGTAAGCCTTCCCCACTGTCCCTGGGCACAATCTGCTGGCGAATCCTGGAGGTCTGCGCCGGCTGCCCGTGGGGAGGTGGATAGCATGAGTGTGACTGCAGTTGAATGTGTGTGTCTCTGTGTCCGCAGGTTCCCATGTATGTGTGTGCGTGTCTGGGATTATGTGTAAGTGTGTGTGTGCGCGTTTGAGCCTGTGTGTGCAGGCGTGTGTGTGTGGCTGTGACTGCCAGTCCGTGTGACCGTGTGTGAGGTGTGTGCCTGTGCATGTGGGCAGCTGCCTGTCTGCACTTCTGGCCTTCTGTGTCTGTGTGTGCTTGTGTCTGCGTGTTTGTGTGTGTGATGCTCCTGTCTGTGCTGTTGTTGTGGCCTTGTGGCAGGGGAGTCTGTACCTGCTGGACCTCTGGGCTGCCTGCTGTCTTGGGGGTGGGTTGTGAGAGAAGGTCTCCCACCTGCACCCCAGGCAGCCCACCCTAGCTCTGTCCTAGCCTGAGCAGCTGCATCTGTCCCCAGCCTCCTGCCTGGCCCTCTGGACACTCTTGCCTCTAAGCTTCTGTCTGGGATGAGGGATGTGCTTTTTCTTCCCGGCGGGGGGCAGAAGGTAGGCACACGAAGGCCAAAGGCTTGTCTCTGGTTCCCAGTGCTGGCAGCTTCTTCGCAGCTGGGGAACAGAGTCTGGTGGTTTTCATGATCGGTTTCCTTTCAGTGCCTGGGCTGGGGGCGTTGTCAGACTGGGAGAGGGCCCCGCGGGAGGTGGCCGGGGGGTGTCCCGGTGTGGAAAATGGTGGACTAATGGGGGTGGCACGAAGGGCGAGGGGGAGAGGGGCTGTGTTCCTCGGTAATTTTTCGCTTCCGTGTGTGTGGCTTATTTCCCTCTTCCTCCTCTTCAAAAGCACTTTGCCATCCATCCTCTGGCAGGGGGGGACTGTGGGCACTCCATGTTTGGCAGATGGGATGGTGCGGATGAGAAGATGGCACAGCGTCGCCTGTGTCTGCTCTCGGGCCCTCCCTGACGCCTGGATCTGGGAGCTGCCACCCCGAGGGTAGGTGCCAGTGTCCGGGAGGCAGCAGAGGACTTGGCTTCTGGTTGGGAGGGGTGTGTGTGTCTTGGCTGTGGGCCTTGCAGGGCAGGGCCCAGCAATTAGATTGTGCCCTCCAAGGCCCGCCTTTCTCTGGGAGGTGTGGAGCAGATGGAAGGCTGGTCGCCAGAAAGCTCCGGGTGCACAGGTCCCGGTCTCAGCCTAGCTTCATTCCATATGAAGCCCTCTGTGTTGAGACCCACAGCTCCAGAGCACAAGGCAAAGCCAGGCCTGAGATTTGAATCTGGGCAGGTGAGGGGGAAGACAGGAGTGTGGCTGCCCAGGGCTGCCAAGATAGAAAGCAGAATTCCAAGTTCTTCTCTAGCAGCCCTTCTCACTGGGGCTTCCTTAATGAAATGCACATTCAGATTCAGGAGGTCTAGGGTGAGCCGAAGGTGGAGGAAGAGCCCTAGGATGTCCCAGACGCCCTTGTGTGCTGGCTCAGTGTCCACTAGGCTGTGGGTTCCAGGAGGGCAGGCCCTGCCCCGTCGCGTTCACCTGGAAGCCTGGCATGTCACACAGGCTCAGTCGATGCTTGTGGACTCATCGAGGTCTTTTGCACACAGCAGGTGTCTGCTTGGGGCCCCTTGAGGTTGACGGGATGGCGGGGCCTTCTGGGCTTGGAAGGTTAAGGCAGCAAGAAAGGGGGCGAGACTGGGGTTTGGGCCTCCTCATCTGGGATGGCTGTCAGCTGGGAGGGGGTGTCACGGATTCCTGGAGCCCTGGTCCCTCCAGACAGTGAACAGAATCTCTGGGGCTGGTGTTTTCCAAGCTCCATTGGATGCAGGGTGGATAACCTCTGGCACCAGGGGCAGACAAGGTGATGAGGGTGGGTGGGATGGGATGGGAGAGGGAGGAGTGCCCAGGAGCCTTGGCTTCCTGAAAGGGAAAGGCCCAGCCTCACAGTCCTCTCCATCTCCCATCTCAGCCTCTCCAAAACCAGAGCCCTGCCCTCCTGAGGCCACACCCTGATGTGGGAACTCTGGTGGGCTGGCTGCTGTGTAGGCGTGGTTTGAACCAGGGCTGCTGTGACCACGGTGCCTGTAGGTGGTGCGGTGGGCGGGGCTGACCCGACAGCGGTCAGAGGTGCACGCACCAGGAGCCCCGGTTCCAGCGGTTCCAGCGCCGACTCCACCTTGACCATTGAGGAACTCTAATGGGACACTTCCTCTCTCTGGGTCTCAGTTTCCCCTTGTGTCAGTGGGGGATTTCTGCCTTACCCACAACACAGGGCTGTTGTAAGAATTAGGAGATTCCTTGAGAAAATGTAAAACCTAAGCGCCTGCTGTGAGGGGCTGCCATCCGGCAGCTCTGGGTTGCACGCGTTACAGCAGAGTGTGGGGCTCTGAGTCCTGCTCGGATCTGGGTGTCTGTGCGTTGAATGGGGGAAGAGGAGGGTCTGCACCCCAGAGCGGGTGGGGATTCCAGGGTGAGACCCTCAGGGACCAGTAGTGGAAGCCCTAAGGAAGGGACTCAAGAGGACGTGTGAGGAAGAAACTGGGAGAGACGTGGGCCAGGCCCCTCGGGGTGCCGCTTGCTTTGCTGTTGTAACTGAGATCAGAAGGTGCTGGGAGTTTACTCAGAGTGAAAGGACCCCGTCCCCTAGCTCCAGGCCTCAGGGTGACTTGTGGGCTGGCTCAGCTCCGTGTCCTCTCCTCTTCCCTGGAGCTGTGACTGTGGGAAGCCTGAGGCAGCGCTGGGCTGGCCAGAGAAGGGTGCCGGAAAGAGCCTCCAGGGTCTCCAGCATGCTGGAGCCAGTGGCAGTTTTAGTGAAGCTGACAGTGATGGTGACACTGATGATGACATGTGGTGACATGGACAGTGATGGTGACACGAATCGTGATGTTGCAAAGGCAGCATTGGTGCTGGTGGCAGTGCTGGTGACAGTGGTGGTCACGACCCTTCCACAAGAGGAGATACTGACAGTGGGAACACTGTCCACCTTTCTGCCTCTGGAGAGGGAGGAGGGGCCTCTTCTTGCCAGCCATAAGGGCTGGCATATGCAGGGGGGTAAAAATAGAACCTCAGCGGCGCTGTCTCCCCTTCCAGTGAGGGCGGGCACAGGCTGGGGATGGAGGAGCTGGCTGTGAGGGCAGTCTGCAGCAAACGTGATCTTCCCCGCTCTGAACCTCTGTGCCTGATACAACCCACCAGGGTCTGCCCCAGGAGCAGGGTCTGCCTCCCTGGATGGACTGGTGGCTCCTTGGGCAGGAGGGTCCCTGGGGCTGGGGATGCTTGCGTCTTCCCAAAGCAGACGCCTGGGAAATATGGATGTCCACCTGGCATTCAGATTGACATCCGTGCTGACCCCTGAAGCCGGGTTGCTGGGTTCTCTTGCGAGGGTAGCCGTAATAAAGGGAGAGGCTGCATACAAAGTGCTTACGATCCCTGGACCTGACGTGAGATACCTGAATTCAGACTGGGCCAGTGATTTTACCTTTCTGAGCCTGGGTTTCCTCATCTCTGAAATGGGGAGAATAATAATACGCATGTTGTAGGGTGGTGTGTGGCCCCAGCTCTCCCAGCACTCAGAGGCGTCTCTCCCCCTGCTAGCGGAGAACTGGCCCCTTTAGCCAGTCCCTGACAGAGCCCTGCTGTCTGGTGGTTTGGGCTGTCCCGGGGACTCCTCCATACAGATGCTATGTAGGAGTCTTCAGCCTCAGCACTGACCGGAGCCCTTGCTTTTCTCTTGGCAGGATCGACAAGACCATGCTGGCAAGTCTGAAGGTCAAGTAAGTAGCAATTTCCTGTTCTGTAAAGGTCAGAGATGACGCGGATCAGAGCGCCGGGCCCTTGCTCCCCCCAGGTTGTGGGAGACACAAGAGGGGCTGTCGTGTTTGTCAGATTCCAGTCCGAGTCCATGGTGCTTCCAGATCGGAGGAGGCTGGACTAACTCTTATTCCTGGGGTGTTCAGGGAGAGGTAGAGGTGGGAATGGAATCACCAGGGGCTAGAATGGTGGGAGTGTGTGTAGCAGGTGTAACATTCAGTCCCATTATTCTTTTTTTTCTTTTTCTTTTTCTTTCTTTCTTTCTTTCTTTTTTTTTTTTTGAGACGGAGTCTTGCTCTGTTGCCAGGCTGGAGTGCGGTGGCATGATCTCTGCTCACTGCAACCTCCACCTTCCAGGTTCAAGTGAATCTCCTGCCTCAGCCTCCCAAGTAGCTGGGATTACAGGCGCCCACCACCACACCTGGCTAATTTTTGTATTTTTAGTAGAGACGGAGTTTCACCATGTTGGCCAGGCTGGTCTCAATCTCTTGACGTCATGGTCCGCCCACCTAGGCCTCCCAAAGTGCTGGGATTATAGGCGTGAGCCACTGCGCCTAGCCCAGACCCATTATCTTCCTATCACTTTAGTTTTTAGATATATATTGGGCTGGGCATGGTGGCTCACACCTGTAATCCCAGCACTTTGGGAGGCCGAGGTGGGTGGATCACCTGAGGTCAGGAGTTCCAGACCAGCCTGGCCAACATGGTGAAACCCCGTCTCTACTAAAAATACAAAAATTAGCTGAGCGTGATGGCACTTGCCTGTAATCCCAGATACTCAGGAGGCTGAAGCAGGAGAATCACTTGAACCCAGGAGGTGGAGGTTGCATTGAGCCGAGATCACACCATTGCACTCCAGCCTGGGGGACAGAGTGAGACTCTGTCTCAAAAAAAAAAAAAGAAAGATAATTACATTTTTTATCACTTTAATTTTTATGTGAACTCCCAATCCTGGCAGTGACTTTCTGACATTCCCCGCCTACTAGGACCTGACTAAACACTCCAGGGTATGTGTGTGTGTGTGTGTGTGTGTGTGTGTGTGTGTGTGTGTGTGTGTGTGTGATGTCAGCTGCTCATCAAGTCATTTGTTGCCAGGTATGTCAGCATGGGCAGCCTGGCCCTGGGGCTTTCTGAGGCTCCCACGCCAGACTCAGGGTGTGGGAATTACCTGCCTCGGTTTACCGTGTATCTCTTGGTCCGTCTGCTGAGGTCCGAAGCAGGCACAGCCCTCTCCTAGAACCTCTGACCTCTCTTCCCTCACCACCTTCATTCCTTTTTCCTCTGCGTTTCTGGCCAAACCATTTTGTCTGCATCCTGATCTCCTTTTTCTTTTGAGACTTAACCAAAGTGTAGCCTGCGTCCAGCTGCACCCCTCCCATGAGGCAATGAGTACTGGCTAACCATCTGCTCCAGTGGAGTGAATTGAAAAGGAGGGAAATTCTAGGAGGAAAAAAGCATTGGCCTCTAGCTCAAAATATTCTCCCGGCACATGTGAATTCACTGTTGCATGGAAAATTCCTCCAATGAATCGCCCTCCTTCCGAGGCAGCTTCTCTGGGTTGTCACTCCCCCATCTCGGCAGAAGGTTTTCCCTGCCTAGTCTCCCTCTGTCATGCCATTCAGTTGCCAGCCCTGGTTGTGTATCCCCTGGATGCAGGTCCCTGGGCAAAGTACGGCCAGTCTTGACGGTTGGCATAAAAGAGGGTCAAAATAAGAGGTTTCCCACTTTGGTTGGTTTTGTTCAAAAAGGTGAGGCTGGGCAGTTCGCAGGGCCGGGATGGAGGACAGACTTTTCCTGCCCTTCAAGAGCTTTCAGTTTCTCTGTTGAGCTGATGCCAGGAAGCTGGATGTGGTGGTTCACGCCTGTAATCCCAGTACTTTGGGAGGCCAAGGTGGGTGGATCGCCTGAGGTCAGGAGTTCGAGACCAGCCTGGTCAACATGGTGAAACCCTATCTCTGCTAAAAATAAAAAAAATTAGCTGGGCGCGGTGGCGGGCACCTGTAATCCCAGCTACTCGGCCGACTGAGGCAGGAGAATTGCTTGAACCTGGGAGGTGGAGGTTGCAGTGAGGCGAGATCGCACCACAGCCTGGGAGACAAGAGTGAAATGCCGTCTCAAAAAAAAAAGTCTAGAGCTGATGCCAGGAGTGCCATGGAGTAGTCCCGAAAGGCTGCCTGGAGGAGGTGGCCTCTAAAGTAGCTCTTAGAGATGAAGCAGGATAGTAGGACCCCCATGTCTGTGCTGGCTTGGCATGGTGTGTGCATCAGTGCAGACCCATTCAATCTGGAGGTGTCAGGGCAAGTCACCCGGGACAAGATGCTTCCCTTCTCTGGGCTTTAGTTTCCATATCTTTTGTCCAGTGGACACAATAATGTCTGGTTTTCCTAGAGCTTTCTAGAGCATATTTGCATACTGAGTGAGACGCCAGGCATGAAGCAGAGCTGCTAAGGGGTGTAGAGTGGTCAGAGTGTTCTTTTGGTGCTGTTTTGGGACATCTAGTTCAATCTCACAAGCACTTATCGAGGGAGGGCCTGTTTGTAAATATAATATCTGCAACCTGGAAGTGCACCAGTTATAGGGTAGAGTGAAAAGCTGGGGGCGTGGGCCAGGGTTGAGATTGGGACCCCAGTGAGGTCTCTGAGTGATTATCTGGGAAGGCGATATTGGGATGATAGCTTGGGACAGTGTGTAGCACTGTGTTCGGAGTTTTATTGGTTAAGATTCCTTTGATTACAAGAAACAAAAACCCAGTGTCATCTGGTTACGCAAAAGATGGAATTTATGGGGAAGAAAGCAGGGTGCCCCAGGGAACTGAAGGGGAGGAAGCAAAGCCAGAGCTCAGGAGTGGTTGAACCAGGAACTGGAAACCCGTTGCCATCAAAATCCCAGCTGGCTTCTTTGCAGACATGGATAAGCTGATCCTGAGATTCACATAGAAGTTCAAAGATAATCTTGAAAAAGGAGAACAAAGTTGGTGCACTCATTCTTCCTGATTTCAAAACGTATCGCGGCCAGGCGCGATGGCTCACGCCTGTAATCCCAGCACTTTCGGAGGTCGAGGCACGTGGATCATTTGAGGTCAGGAGTTTGCGACAAGCCTGACCAACATGGTAAAACCCCGTCTCTACTGAAAATACAAAAATTAGCCCAGTGTGGTGGTGTGCGCCTGTAGCCCCGGCTACTTGGGAGGCTGAGGCAGGAGAGTCGCTTGAACCCAGGAGGTGGAGGTTACCATGAGCTGAGATCACACCATTACACTACAGCCTGGGTGACAGAGTGAGACTATGTCTCAAAACAAAACAAAAACAGAACAAAACAAAACAAAAGTATTGCAAAGCTATGGTTATTAAGACAGTGTGGTACGGACATAAAGATGGACAGACAGATGGATCCAGTAGAATTCAGAGTTCAGAAATAAGCCCTTGCATTTCTGGTGAATTGATGAGGCAGCCAAATGCCCACTGTTGGGGCTCCTGAGTCACCAAGATGCCTCCTCCCTCTGCCTTTGCTGGGTGAGGCATCTCTCCTTCTACAGCAGCTCACTGCATTCCCTGCCATGTAGCGGATACTCCTGGGCTGCAGCCCAGGCTCCCTGGTTGCCTTGGCTCCCTCCCCAAGGACCTGGTGTCCTTGGTGCCTCCCCAGGTGTCCCTGAGGCCTGCAGCTCTGACGACAGGGGTCTGGCCTCACCGTTATGAAGCATTCACTGTGTGCTCAGGCTTCGTTGCACTGTTTTCCTGAGGCTTTGCACCCACCTCATGAAGCAGGCACCAATCCTCTCTGCATTTTACAGATAAGAAAGTGGAGACTGAGAGAGTTTAGGAAACCCGTTCAAGGTCTTCAGGGAGGAAGTCACAGAGTTGGGATTTGAATCTGGGTCTGTGTTTTGTGTGTGGAGCTGAGTGGTTCTCACACCTGCCTCCCGCCCTACTTTCCCATATTCTTTCCCTGATGTTCTCAGGGGCTGTGTATATAGAATCCGTGGCCGCAGAATGCACCTCCGCCTCCACGACACCGTGGGTGAGAAGGCCGCCCCTGGTTTGCTGGGGCCCATCCCCTTGCTGGAGGCCTGGATTGAATGGGGTCTGTGGTGCCTGGATGAGTTGGACACTCAGAAGCAAGGATTTACTTAACTGCAGTGCAGGGGTACAGGGGCTATGGAGCCACGTTGGAATGCTGGAGGGGAGGTGGCAACGGTACCACGCAGGAGAAGGAGGCTTGTGTGTGGGATATAGCCTCAGGCTAACACACAGGCAAATCGTTCACCTCTCTGGGTCAGTTTCCCCGTCTGTAAAGGGTTGGATTAGCGTCCAGCCTTCTCTCTTCCAGCCTTGACGTTCTAGGAGTTTGCATTCATGCCTTGAATCCTTTCGTATTTTTCTCAGGACCTTGGTGATGGTAGGCGCTCGCTGTTGAGTGAGTGAATGCATGGCTGTGTGAATGGAAGTCTCTGAGAGCAGGGGCTCTGTGCATTACATCCCTGACTCCTTAGGGCCTACCCAGTGCCTGGCACAAAACAGGTTTTCAGTCTGTATTTGCTGAATGAATCAACATGTGTCATCATGGTTGGCCCATCACATGCAGGTGGAAGGAAGGAGAGAAAGAGGCAGGCTCAGCGTGTGGGGATCCCTCTTCTCCAGTCCGCTCTGGGGGCCAGCTGGGCATGAGGTCCCTGTCGGGCAGGTGCCTGGGGTTTTCTTGTGGAGCTCCTTGAAGGAGCAGCCGGAACGGGAGGATCTGAGCTGGGAGCCTCCGAGACACTCCTCTTGTCCTTTATTTCTTTTTTGAGACCGCGTCTTGGTCTGTTGCCCAGGCTGCAGTGCAGTGGTGCAATCTCGGCTCACTGCAACCTCCGTCTCCTGGGTTCAAGCGATTCTCCCACCTCAGCTTCCCAAGTAGCTGGGATTACAGGTGTGCACCACCACGCCCAGCTATTATTATTATTATTATTATTTTTGTATTTTAGTAGAGATGGGGGTTTCACCATGTTGGCCAGGCTGATCTCGAACTCCCGACCTCAGGTGATCCACCCACCTCAGCCTCCCAAAGTGTTGGGATTACAGGCGTGAGCCACTGCACCTGGCCAAAACCTCTGCTCCTTTTTGCTACCCTCTGTGCTCTCTCCACAGAGACCCCTGCATCTTTGCTAAAGAAAGAGATGCGTGTATGTGTGTGTGTGTGTGTCTGTCTGTCTGTCTGCTGCATGGGCTCCAGCTACCTGAGGTGACCGTCATGCACAGGGGCTGGCTGCGGTGGCCTGGAGTGAGCACGTGAATGGTTCAGGGTAGCCTGTCTCCACTGCTGGAGCACATTCTCATGCACACTCCTGAGGGGTGGGGAAGTCTAAAATCCATTGCCTTGTAGGAAAAAAATCCAGCTTAAATTTAAGTGGGTGGCTGCAGCCCTTGGTCCCTAGAAGTGGCACCTCTGGAGAGGGATGAAGCCCATGATGGGACCTGGGTGCAGCTGTGCTCTGTGATTTCTTCCCTAGGAGAAGGACGGGGAGGGCCTGGAGGAGCTCCTGCTTGGCTGGGCCAGCATGTCAGTTCTACTGTGGTTTGGCCAGAAGATACCACACAGCCACCGCTATTCTAAGTTTCAGATTTAACCAGCTAAGAATTGAAAATCCTGCTAGAAATGAAGGGGCCATGAAGGACAGGGCTCAGTGTGTCTCCGGGCAGCTTTCCTAGGTCCCTGGGGACTCCAGTGTCAGCTGCTGGAGACATTGTCCATGAGAGCAGGGGCTTGCCACAGCCAGGAAGCTTGATTTCTTCTCTGCTACAACCTTTTTATTATTATTATTATTATTATTATTATTATTTTGAGAGGGAGTCTCGCTCTGTCGCCCAGTCTGGAGTGCAGTGGTGAAATTTCGGCTCACTGCAACCTCCACCTCCTGGGTTCAAGCGATTCTCCTGCCTCAGCCTCCCGAGTAGCTGGGATTACAGGTGCGGCCCACCGTGCCCGGCTACTTTTTGTATTTTTTTTTAGTAGAGGCGGGGTTTCGCTGTGTTGGCCAGGCTGGTCTTGAACTCGTGACCTCAGATGATCCACTTGTCTCGGCCTCCCAAAGTGCTGGGATTACAGGTGTGAGCCACTGGGCCTGGTCTATTATTATTATTTTTATTTATTATTATTATTTTTGAGACAGAGTCTCACTCTCTCTCAGGCTGGAGTGCAGTGGCATGATCTTGGCTCACTGTGACACCTCTGCCTCCTGGGTTCAAGTGATCCTCCTGCCTCAGGACCATACCCAACTATTTTTTTTGTATTTTTAGTACAGACGGGGTTTTGCCATGTTGGCCAGGCTGGTCTCAAACTCCTAGCCTCAAGCGATCCACCTGCCTCGGCCTCCCGAAGTGCTGTGATTACAGGCATGAGCCACTGTGCCTGGTCTGCCACAACCCTTTAAACTCAGGCTTCCCTCCCCATGCTGTGAGAATTATGCACAACATGGGGCACGTTTTTGTGGCTAATTTTTGTATTTTTAGTAGAGACGGGGTTTCGCCGTGTTGGCCAGGCTGGTCTCAAACTCCCGACCTCAGGTGATCCGCCTGCCTCGGCCTCTCAAAGTGCTGGGATTACAGGCTTGGGCCACCGCCTCCGGCCGTTGATTCCAATTTAATGACTCTTTTCATTCACCAGTTGAAGGCCACACCTACCAATTCATTCCCCCACCTTTGGCCACTGGGTCTTTGTTTACTGTAGATTACAAGAATTCTTGAGGCACCACTACGATGTTCTAGAACCCTCTGGGGCCAACTCATCTTAGTCTGCTCTTCTCCTACACACCTAGGGCATCTGCTGAGAGTTTGCTGGGGTTGTCAAGGACAGGGGGAGCTTGAGGTTTTTGGGGGTAGACAGCTGAGTCAGTTCAGCCTACATTTACTGGGCACCTACACTCTGCAGGGAGACAGTTGCCATGGCACGGGACAAGGGCTGCGATGCCCACAGAAAGGATGGAGGGGGGCCTCCTGGAGACCTGGTGATGCCTGAGCTGTCTCCAGGGGTGCGTAAGGTCAGCAGGGAGGAGAGAATGCACTCCAGGTAGCCCGACCCTCACGAAGGCAGTGGGGCGTGAAGCAGCTTCAGCAGGTGGGACCTGGGAGCAGTTACTATTACCAGACAGAAGCGAGGGTGGGAGTGCAGGGGGCTGGGGGAAGGCAGGCCACGTCTGGGAGGGTAGGTGAGCTATGCTGGAAGTGGGGCTGGATCAAAGGGCTTAGGACTAGGGGAATGCTATGGTGAGCTCGAGTCTGAGAGCCCCTCTGGCTGACTGGAGGGGTTAGAGAGGAGGCAGGGCGGCCAGGAGGGGATATTGAGACAGCCACGTAAAGAGGTCCCCGGAGACCCTCCGCTGGCCTGCGCCCTGGGGTGAGGCCTC
Source organism: Homo sapiens (assembly GCF_000001405.40). NCBI lineage: Eukaryota > Metazoa > Chordata > Mammalia > Primates > Hominidae > Homo > Homo sapiens. The sequence continues at coordinate 2,807,972 of NC_000017.11, forward strand.
GGGAAGTTCGCACTGTTTCCAGCGGGGAGGATCCTGGCCATTCCTGTTTGGAGGTGGTAACCTGGGGATCCAACCTGTGAGATGGAGGCCTGTTAACAGGAACCTCTCTTGCTTTGCTGAGCTTTTTTCCTTTCGCCCAGTAAATCCCGTTGTTCTCACCCTTCTGTCGTGTCCAAGAGCCTAATCTTTCTTGGTGGTGTGACAAGGACCCCGTTTTGAGCTGAGCTCAGGAGAAAGTCCCATAATAGCATGGGGCTGGAGGGAGTGGCCTTCCCTGCCTGGAGCTGGTTTGGAAGGTGTGGGTGAAGGTGAGAAGAAGGGTCAGCTGAGGACTCTCAGAAGGCTTCCTGTGAGCGCTGGGTGGATGCTGGTCCCATTCATGGAGACGGAGAACTAGCGAGTTTGGGCAGTTTGGGCGGGGAAGGAGGGAGTAAGACTCTGAATGTAAAATCTTCCCTCCACTTTCCACTCTCCTGTTTGGTCTGTCTGAGACCCACCATATACCTCCTGCCCTGTGGAAGGGGGCAGAGGAGAGAGCAGCATCCTGAGGGCCGTGGGGGCTGGTCTGCGGCCTGGGAAGCAGCTGCACGGCGTCCCCTCGCTGGCCCGGCTCGGCTCCTGGGTGCCTTTGGCAGGTGAGTTCCAGGTGAGCACTGGCCGGTGTGGCCGCCCTTGTGACTGACAGCTGGCCACACCACAGAACCCACTGTTAGATACCCTCCAGGTGGGTCGAGGAGAATGTGCCCATTTCTGTCTTGAGTGGCAGACTCTGGTTCGTTGATTTCTTCAGGATGGGCCCTGTGCCTGAGGACAGTGTTGGCATGTGTGGGGGCATGTGGGTGTGTGCAGATACGTGTAGGCGTGTGTGCACGCTCGCCCATGCAGGTGGACGTGAGCGCTGAGGGCCCATGTGGGTGCCTATGTGGTGCCTTTTTTGGCTTTAGCGAGTTCCTATGGTAACCATGAACATGCCTGTTTTGGGATCTGGAGTCTCGGGGCGTGCGTGGCTGCAGGGAGAAGCAGGGAAGGCGAGCGCTTAGCCGGTGGTTGGCTTGATTTCATTACCAGGCACCGGGGCTGCTCCTGGAGGTACCATTTGCCAGGCGGCAAGGTCTGCAGACTCCAAGACCCATGTGCTCCTGGCCCTCCTCCTGGCCAGTCCCTGCCATGCCCAGGAAGCCCTGGTGAGTCCCTGTTCTGGTTTCTCATTGGACAAACAGCTCCCCGGACTTGGCCAGGTCTTGTGGGTATCTGCTGATGGGCAGGCAGGGAGCCGGCTGGCAGCCCTGGCCAGTAGGTACCAGGAATTGGGGCTCTTCTGAGATGAGTGTGGGACAGTGGGCAGGAGGGGCTTTGCCTATTCACGGAGCCCGTGAGGGTGTTTTCCATGTGGCTGGTGGAGTGGCATGGTCCTTGTGGGTCCCATGGACAGGGCTAACCGTGTGAGTGTGAGGGTATGGGCAAGGACGCCGGAGAGGAAAATGTGGACCGGGTGGCCTGTGGCCCGCCAGCCGAGACCCAACCATCCCCGGAGGCCCCCCTCACCCCTCTCAGCTCCCCGGGTCCTCATGAACCCCCAGGCCTCTGGCCATGCACTTGGGCTTCCTCGCTGGTCTCCCCAGGCCCAGAGGCCTGCTGGCCTGGCCTGGATGGGAAGACTCACGGTCCTGTGGAAGAGGCCAGAGGGCTCTGCCCGGCTCGCTGGGAGCTGGATTTGGCCAAGGCCGGGGAAGAATTGCTCCCACTTGGCTCTGGAGAAAGACTCGTGCCTCCCCAGATTGTGCACCCCCTGGTGCTTCTTGTCTACACACTGCAGACCCATGGGTGTGTCAGGACACCCCTCTCCAGCCACCGCGGGAGAGGCTCTTGATGGACAGGGGCCCAAGCAGCCCTCAGGGGCCGTACAGAGACGACGCTGGTGTCTGGGAGCGGGGTGGCACCTTCTATCCCCTTCCTCCCGCTGGCTCCTCTGGGGCAGCTAGCAGGGAGTTGGGGATGTGAGTGTCAATAGGGGCTGTCAGTGGCCCCTCTGGCTTGTGCTGGGACCCTCCCCTCCCCCCGCCCCACCCCAGGAGTTCCTTCCTCTGCCTCTGAGAAGGCTCTGGGTGAGGCTATGCTGGGACCGGGGGCTGTGTGTGGAGCAGGAGTTGCTAGGGCTGGACAGAGGGCTGAGGCCCTGGTGAAGGGCGAGGGGAGCAAATGTGGACCTTGCGAGCTTTGTCTGGACCACCCCGGCCTTCCCTCCCTGGGAGGCAGAGTCCAGAACCTAATCCCCGATGGCCTTCCCTGGGGGCGCTGGGAGAGGGAGAGGGGAACCTTCAGGAGAGACCCCCAGATCTCTAGAGTCTTTGAATCTTAGGGCTTGAGATTTAAAAAGTCAAATTAGTCGTTTTTTTTTTTTAATTATACTTTAAGTTCTAGGGTACATGTGCACAACATGCAGGTTTGTTACATATGTATACATGTGCCATGTTGGTGTGCTGCACCCATTAACTCGTCATTTAACATTAGGTATGTCTTTTAATGCTATCCCTCCCCTGTCCCCCCACCCTTTTTTTTTTTTTTTTTTTTTTTTTTGAGACGGAGTCTCGCTCTGTCACCCAGGCTAGAGTGCAATGGTACGATCTTGGCTCACTGCAACCTCTGCCTCCCAGGTTCAAGTGATTCTCCTGCCTTAGGCTCCTGAGTAGCTGGGATTACAGGCATGCGCCACCACACCCGGCTAATTTTTGTATTTTTAGTAGAGATGGGGTTTCACCACGTTGGTCAGGCTGGTCGCAAACTCCTGACCTCGTGATCCGCCCGCCTCAGCCTCCCAAAGTGCTGGGATTACAGGCGTGAGCCACCGCGCCTGGCCAACAAAAGTCAAATTAGTCTTTATGCAAATCTCCTGTGCCCCTAAAACTAGTCACCCAGGCTGAGCTTGGTTACCTGTGGGGACAGTGAGCTCATTACCTTGTATGGATGCCTATTTTATTGTAGTACAACTTTGCTCGAAGCTGACCGCTGTTTTCATCTGGAATCTCTGTAACTGCATTGCTCGGTCCAGTCTTGACCCTTGGCCCGCACGTCCCCACTTACCCCCATTCAACAAGGTTCACCCCTCTTTCCACTAAGAGCCCTGCAGACACTGGAAGGCTGCTTTTTCACCCTGAGTCTTCCCTTCCCTCCCCTTGGCTGGTCACCCCGGCCTCTGCAGCTATATTTGGGATTCCTCACCTGCCTGGGCTGATCTTTGTCGGAAGGGTTCAGGTTTTGCAGGCACCCTGCAGGAGCCCCATGGACACGAGGATGGACAGCTAGAGGCGATGGGCCTCACCCTCCTTATTTACAGATCAGTAAGCTGAGACCCTGAGCAGGGGTGCTGCTAACTTGCGATAGGACAACACAGAGGTGGTCAGGGCAGGGTCGGGACGTGAGGGGCTGCTCTTGTCGTCTGTGACGTGCTGGCCCCTGGTTCTTTTCCTGCTTCTCCATCAGCTCCATCCTTGCTGCTTTCTGACTTGGACCCTCAGCTCTTGGGCACTGCAAGAATGCTGGCCTGTCTTAGCGGATCTTCCATTTTATAACAGCAGCTGGAAATCCGTTTCTTTGTGTGTGTATTTTTTTGTTTTTTTGTTTTTTGAGACGGAGTCTCGCTCTGTCACCCAGGCTGGAGTGCAATGGCACGATCTTGGTGCATTGCAACCTCTGCCTCCCGGGTTCAAGTGATTCTCCTGCCTCAGTCTCCCGAGTAGCTGGGATTACAGGCATGCGCCACCATTTCTGGCTAATTTTTTGTATTTTTAGTAGAGACAGGGTTTCACCACGTTGAGCAGGCTGGTCCCGAACTCCTGACCTCAGGTGATCCGCCCACCTCTGCTTCCTAAAGTGCTGGGATTACAGGCGTGAGCCACTGCGCCTGGCCTGATTTTTGTATTTTTACTAGAGGCGAGGTTTCACCATGTTGGCCAGGCTGGTCTCGAACTCCCAACCTCAGGTGATCCCCCCAGCTCGGCCTCCCAAAGTGCTGGGATTACAGGCATGAGTCACTGCGCCTGGCCGGAAATCTGGAGTTTTAGACAAAATCTTGACAACTAACTGCAGACTTTAAAGAACAGAGCTGGCCGCAGCCTACCCTGCAGACCAGAGTCAGCCGGACCCTCTGCTCTGCTCACCTCCTTAGGCCTCAGCTCTTGTTTCTTTGTGGCTGACTCCCAAGTCCCTCTCCCCAGGTCATCCCCAAGAACAGTGCTCTTGCCCCGACCTCAGTGGCTGGCTGGTCATTTCGGCTCTGTTCCCAGACTGAACTGACTCTCAATTAACCTTTTCTCTCTTTCAGATCCAGTTCTTTTCTGTCACTGGGTTGAGAAGCCTCTGAGTCATGGGGGGGTGGTTCCTCCTGTCTCCCGGTTCAGGCCCATTATCTCCTGCCCAGTGACACAGGCTTTCTAATTAACCTCCTCCTCCGGTCTCTGCCAGCTGTGACTAACTCTTCATCCCTCAAGCTGGCTCCAGCTCTGCCTTCCCTATTACTAGACGCTGGCCCGAAGGCAGACCTTGATAGTGCTGACTCTGATGGGCTTCTCATGCCAGGATGCTGGTGTAGGGACCCCCAGCCCCCATCTGGTGGGGGGCTGTCTTTGGGTCACAGCAAATAGTTTGTTTGTTCCTTCCTTCCCTCCCCCAGGACGGTGGTTCTCAAACTTTTCTACAATTTGGTTTCACCTGGAGGTGCTTTTAAAAATTCTGATGCCGGCTGGGCGCAGTGGCTCACACCTGTAATCCCAGCATTTTGGGAGGCCGAGGTGGGTGGATCACCTGAGGTCAGAAGTTCGAGACCAGCCTGACCAATATAATGAAACCCTGTCTCTACTAAAAATACAAAAACTAGCCAGGCGTGGTGGTGGTTCCCTGTAATCCTAGCTACTCAGGAGGCTGAGGCAGGAGAATCGCTTGAACCCGGGAGATGGAAGTTGCAGTGAGCCGAGATCGCACCATTGCACTCTAGCCTGGGTAACAAGAGTGAAACTCCGTCTCAAAAAAAAAAAAAAATTCTGATGCCCAGGTTGTACCCAGTTCCAATTAAATCTGAATGTCGGAGGGTAGAACCCAGCATCAGTACTTTTTTTTTTTTTTGAGATGGAGTCTCGCCCTGTCGCCCAGGCTGGAGTGCAGTGGTGCAATCTTGGCTCACTGCAACCTCCGCCTCCCAGGTTCAAGCGATTTCTCCTGCCTCCGTCTCCTGAGTAGCTGGGATTACAGGTGCATGCCACCATGCCCAGATAATGTTTTGTATCTTTAGTAGAGATGGGGTTTAGTAGCCATGTTGGCCAGGCTGACCTCGAACTCCTGACCTCGTGATCTGCCTGCTTCAGCCTCCCAAAGTGCTGGGAATACAGGCGTGAGCTGCGGTGCCCAACTATACTTTTAAAAGATCCCCCGTTCATTCCAATAGGCAGCCAAACCTGGGAAGCACTTCCCCAAGGGATACACAAGTGTGGTGACCGTCAGTGGTTGGGCAATGACTCAGGTCAGGCTGGATGTTAAAATGGGCTCCTGGTGGGCGTGAGCCCTCTGGGCCAGGGCTTCTGGTAACATTTGAGGCTGGCTGACTCTTTGTTTTACGGTGCCATCCTGTGCGTTGTAGGGTGTTGCGCAGCCTCTCTAGCCTGTATCCACAAGATGCCCACAACCCACCCCTCACTGTGATAATGAAAATGTCTCCAGGCCAGGCATGGTGGCTCACAAATCCCAGCACTTTGGGAGGCCCAGGCAGGTGGATCACCTGAGGTCAGGAGTTCGTCGAGACCAGCCGGGCCAACATGGTGAAACCCTGTCTCTACTAAAAAAGTACAAAAAATTAGCCGGGCATGGTGGCACGTGCCTGTAATCGTAGCTACTCGGGAGGCTGAGGCAGGAGAATCACTTAAACCCGGGAGGCGGAGGTTGCAGTGAGCCGAGATCGCACCATTGCACTCTAGCCTGGGCAACAGAGTGAGACTCCATCTCAAAAAAAAGAAAAAAGAAAAGAAAAAAAGAAAATGTCTCCAGACGTTGCTCTATTTCTGGGGCAGTGGTATAAAATCTCCCCGACTCCGTTGAAAACTACTGTTCTAGGCCTAGTAGGTTCACCTTGACAGCATTCTCAAATATTCACAGAAGAAAAGGGGCAAAGGACACCAAGTGGGGACCCCAGCTTACTGATTGATTTGTGGGCTTGGCAGTCAGGCAGCCTCTGTTTAAATCCTGACTCTACCAGCTGGGTGACCTTGGACAAGTTACTTAACCTCTCTGTGCCTCTGTCAGTTCTGGTTTTGTTTTCTCACAATCGTGCCTCCTCTTGATCTTCAGCTGCAGCCCGAGGGTGGAACTTGCTGTGTGTGGCTGGGCACTTTCGCCTGTGGCTGTGCTGCTCTGCCCACAGGGAACATGCCTTTGCTGCCCCTTCCCTGTCAGCATCAGGGTCACAACCTGCCCGTCCTTCCAGGGCCAGCTTCCATGCAGCTTCCTCCACGCACAGCCCCTTCCCCATCGGCATGGAAGGCTCTCTTCCTTGTGCCCCTGGGGCAGCCGGAACCTCAGGTCACATGCAGCTCCTCCCGCGCCGTGGGGATCTGGTGGTTTCTGTCTGAGTTCCTCCCCACTTGGGGTCTGAGACCGTGGGAGCCTCTAGCGTGCCCAGCTCGGGCTGTCTCACTGTTTGTTACCCAGGTGAGGTGGCTGTCCCCTCCCTACCTTGGGTTGAGCTGTGAACCAGTAGGTTACCGCAGTGTGGTACCACCCCCCCCAACCCCAACACCCAGCTCATTCTGAGAGGGTGGAGTGGGCGGAAATCCGTGCCTGGCAGACCACAAAGCCACATAACTGACTTTTGTAGCCCTGCCCTGGGGTGTTGGGGGGGAGGGTTGACGGCAGCCATTGCCCCTTTCTTCGGTGCTTTGCCACCAGCAGACGCCCCGTGGAATTGAGGAGCTTTGTTCTACGAGCTCGGGAACGGGACTTGGGAGGGACAGCCCCTGTCCCACCCTGCCATGCCCTGTTCAACCCTGTCAGGCAGCTGAACGTAGGCTGGACCCATGGCTGCCCACCCTGGCTGCAGTACAGAATCACCTAGGGGACCTCGTTAAAATGCAGCTTCCGGACCCCACCCTGGGGCTTGGGGATTCTGCCTCATCAGCCTGGGTGGGGCCCAGGAAACCTGTGTGTTACCAGCGCTGAGGTGCTGCTGATGAGGCAGCTGGCTTCACAGCTGCACGGGAACCAGTGCCGTTTAAAGCACTTTCCCCCACAGTGCGGCTCCAGCAGTCAGGTTCACGTACTCTGGGTGACCTGGGGCAGGCTGCGCAACCTCTCTGTGCCCCAGTTTCTTTGTCTGAGGATAATAACAGTACCTGCACGTGGGTGCGCTTGTTGTGAGGCTTAAATGAGATTATCCAGGTGAAATGGGAACAGAGTGCCTGGTACCTAGTGCTCAACACATGTAACCTGCCTTAACATCTCTGATATTATTATTATTATTATTATTATTATTATTATTATTATTATTGAGACAGAGTCTCGCTTTGTCACCCAGGCTGGATTGCAGTGGCATAATCTCAGCTCACTGCAACCTCCACCTCCCCGGTTCAAGCGATTCTCCTGTCTCAGCCTCTTGAGTAGCTGGGATTACAGGCGCGCACCACCACGCCCAGCTAATTTTTGTATTTTTAGTAGAGATGGGGTTTCACCACGTTGACCAGGCTGGTCTTGAACTCCTGACCTCAGGTGATCCGCCCACCTTGGCCTCCCAAAGTGCTGGGATTACAGGCGCGAGCCACCGCACCCGGCCCCATTTCCGATATTAACAACAGTCCTGGGCTGTGCGGTCACACACGTGTAACTGTGCGATGTGCCCTCGTGCCTGCAGGCGTACCTACGCAGGCACACTGAGCATTGTGTACCGGGACCCAGGCCTCCCTGCTGAGGACAGAGCATCCCTGTGGTACATGCGTGGACGCAGTCACTGGCTGGACGTGGTCAGAAGGGCAGACGTGTGTGTACACAAGGCCCAGACAAGCGGGTTTTTATTTGATTCACACTCTGACCTTATTCCTTGAGTTAGCAGCACCTGGGCTGAGCTCTGGGAGCCCAAGGTGCCCCTTGTTTCCATAGCAACCATAATCTGGTAAAAATAGGCGGGGGAGGGAAGAGCTGGAAGAGGCCCGAGCCGGCTCCGGGGGCATCCTGCCTGCTAAGGTCCTTTTTTCCACATTGCTGACCATACAGAGGTGCTGTTTTGTTTTGTTTTTTTTTTTTCTTAGGATAATGACATGCAAACCTCTGAGTACTCATGACTCAGAATTGACACTTGTTAACATTTTTTCTCATTTTCATCAAACCCTCTTATTTATTTATTTATTTTTGAGACGGAGTCTCACTCTGTCGCCCAGGCTGAAGTGCAGTGGCGCGATCTTGGCTCACTGCAACCTCCGCCTTTCGGGTTCAAGCGATTCTCCTGCCTCAGCCTCCTGAGTAGCTGGGATCACAGGCGCCCGACACCACACCTGGCTAATTTTTATATTTTTTAGTAGAGATGGGGTTTCACCATGTTGGCCAGGCTGGTCTCGAACTCCTGACCTCAGGTGATCCACCCACCTCGGCCTCCCAAAGTGCTGGGATTACATCAAAGTCTTTTTAAAAAACTGTGTTAAAATATACATATTATAAAACTTACCATTTAAAGCATTTTTAAGTGCACCATTCTGTGACATTAAGTACATTTACAATGCTGTGCAAGGATCACCATTATTTCTAGAAGTTTTTCATCATCCCAAACTGAAACTTCGTATACATTAAATAATAACTCCCTATTCCCTCATCTCCACAGCACCCTGCAGCCACCATTCTGCTTTCTGTTTCTATGAATTTGACTGCTCGGTGAACTGTGTATAGGTGAAATCACACAGTACTTGTCCTTCTGTGTCTGGCTTATTTCACTTCCCATAATGTCTTCAAGGTTCATCCATGTTGTAGCGTGTGTCAGAATTTCCTTTTTTTTTTTTTTTTTTTTTTTGAGATGGGGTCTTGCTCTGTTGCCCAGGCTGGATTGCCGTGGTATGATCTTGGCTCACTGCAGCCTCCACTTCCCAGGCTCAAGCGTTTCTCGTGCCTCAGCCTCCTATGTAGCTGGGATTACAGGTGTGCACCACCACACAAGGCTAATTTCTGTATTTTTAGTAGAGATAGAGATAGGGTTTCGCCATGATGGCCAGGCTGGTCTTGAACTCCTGACCTCAGGTGATCCGCCTGCCTCGGCCTCCTAAGGTGCTGGGATTACAGGGGTGAGCCACCATGCCTGGCCTAGAATTTCCTTTCCTTTTAAGACTGAATAATATCCCATTGTTGCATGTATCACATTTTGTTTATCCATGTGTTCACTGATGGACATCTGAGTTGCTTCCAATTTTTTTTTGCTGTTGCGAATAATGCCACAGTGAACGTAGGTGTATAAATATCTGGGTCTCTGTTTTCAGTTCTTTTGGGTATCTATTTAGGAGCAGAATTGCTGATCGTATGGCAATTCTATGTATAGTTTTTTTTTTTTTTGAGGCAGGGTTTTACTGTGTTGCCCAGGCTGGAGTGAAGTGGCATGATCTCGGCTCACTGCAACCTCCGCCTCCCTGGTTCAAGTGATTCTCCTGCCTCAGCCTCCCAAGTAGCTGGGATCACAGGCGCCTGCCACCACACACGGCTAAATTTTGTATTTTTAGTAGAGACGGGGTTTCACCATGTTGGCTAGGCTGGTCTTGAACTCCTGACCTCAGGCAATCCAACTGCCTCAACCTCCCAAAGTGTTAGGATTACAGGCATGAGCCACTGCGTCTGGCCTCTATGTTTAATTGTTTTTGTTTTGTTTTGTTTTTGAGATGGAGTCTGGCTTTGTTGCCCAGGCTGGAATGTAGGGCACAATCTCAGCTCACTGCAACCTCTGCTTCCCAGGTTCATGCCATTCTCCTGCCTCAGCCTCCCGAGTAGCTGGGACTACAGGTGCCCACGACCACGCCTGGCTAATTTTTTGTATTTTTAACAGAGACGGGGTTTCACTGTGTTAGCCAGGATGGTCTCAATCTCCTGACCTCGTGATCTGCCCTCCTCGGCCTCCTAAAGTGCTGGGATTACAGGCGTGAGCCACTGCGCCCGGCCTCTATGTTTAATTTTTTTAGCTTTTTTTAAAATTAAAGAAATAAAACACACACATAAAGTTAAGTTCCGGTCATCATTTCTGCTTGCCTCCGTTCCTCTATTTCTTCCATCCATAGGGGCTACCATTAGCAGGAATTTTGTGTTTTCTCTCAGCCCACTTTATTTATTTATTTATTTATTTATTTATTTATTTATTTATTTATTTATTTTTGAGACGGAGTCTCTGTTGCCCAGGCTGGAGTGCAGTGGTGCGATCTTGGCTCACTGCAACCTCCGCCTCCCGGTTCAAGTAATTCTCCTGCCTCAGCCTCCCAAGTAGCTGGGATTACAAGTGCGTGCCACCACGCCCGGCTAATTTTTGTATTTTTTTTTAGTAGAGATGGGGTTTCACCATGTTGGCCAGGCTGGTCTTGAACTCCTGACCTCAAGTGATCCACCTGCCTTGGCCTCCCAAAGTTTTGGGATTGCAGGTGTGAGCCACCGTGCCCGGCCTCAGCCCACATTTTTAATGCTTTCACATTCATACACAGGTATCTAGAAACATTTATAGTTTTTGTGTGCATTAAAAAGGGACATACCTGACATCCTTTTGAATTTGTGTGAGGTGGCGTTCTGGCGCTAGATTGCCTGGGTTCAGATCTTGGCTCTGACACGCAGCAGCTGTGAGACCTCAGGCAGGTTCCTTCATCTCTCCATGCCTCCCTTTTCTAATCTTTGAAACTGGACTAATAGCAAAGCCTGAAACCTACTGCAAGGGTTGTTTTGGAGACTGAGTAAGTTTATACATGTCTAGTGCTTAGAACAGAGAGGGGATGTAGCAGACACAGGATGGATATATTACCATTATCGTTCTGCATGTGTGTCTGTCCACATGGTTGTAAAGTCTATTTTTTTTTTTTTTGAGACAGAGTCTCACTCTGTCGCCCAGGCTGGAATGCAGTGGCGCGATCTTGGCTCACTGCAAGCTCCGCCTCCCAGGTTCACGCCATTCTCCTGCCTCAGCCTCCCAAGTACCTGGGACTACAGGCGCCCGCTACCACACCCGGCTAATTTTTTTTGTATTTTTAGTAGAGACGGGGTTTCACCGTGTTAGCCAGGATGGTCTCGATCTCCTGACCTCATCATCTGCCTGCCTTGGCCTCCCAAAGTGCTGAGATTACAGATGTGAGCCACCATGCCTTGCTTTTTTTTTTTTTTTCTTTTTTTGGAGACTGAGTCTTGCTCTGCTGGAGTGCAGTGGCAGGATCTTGGCTGACTGCAACCTCTGCCTCCTGGGTACAAGTGATTCTCTTGCATCAGCCTTCCAAGCAGCTGGGATCACAGGAGCATGCCACCACACACTTTTTTTTTTCTTTTTTGACGGAGTCTTGCTCTGTCACCCAGGCTGGAGTGCAGTGGTGCAATCTCGGCTCATTGCAGCCTCTGCCTCCCGGGTTCCAGCGACTCTCCTGCCTCAGCCTCCTGGGTAGCTGGGATTACAGGTGCATGCCACCATGCCCAGCTAATTTTTGTGTTTTTGGTAGAGACGGGGTTTTTTGGCCAGGCTGGTCTTGAACTCCTGACCTCAGATGATCCACCTGCCTCGGCCTCCCAAAGTGCTGGGATTACAGGCATGAGCCTCAGCGCCTGGTGATAGATCTAGTTTCTTCTCTCTTTCTCCTTTTTTTTTTTTTTTTGAGACAGGATCTCACTCTGTTGCTCAAGGTGGTGTGATCCTGGCTCACTGTAGCCTCAATACCCCCAGGGCTCAAGTGATTCTCCAACCTCAGCCTCCCACGTGGTTGGGACTACAGCATGCACCACCATGCTTGGTTAAGTTTTTAAGAAATTTTTGTAGAGATGAGGTTTCACCATCTTGCTGTCTCAAACTTCTGGGCTCAAATGATTCTCCAACCTTGGCCTCCCAAAGTGTTGGGATTACAGGCGGGAGCCACCACTTCTGGCCTAGTTTTTTCTTTTTGGTGCCATGCATATTAATTTGTACAAATAGATCACATTTTTTTTGTATCCCCCATTGATCCCCTCTTGCTGGACACCTAGGTCGTTTCCATTTTCTGATATTGCAAGCAATGCTGCAGGCAGTGGCTTTCCCCTTGCCTGGCCCTCTGTGCGTTTGTGTGAGGTCATGAGGGGTACCTAGAGGTGGGGCTGTTGGGTCGCAGCTCTACTGGATGCTGCCAGATTGCCCTCAAGAGAGGACTTAGGCTGGGCGCGGTGGCTCACGCCTGTAATCACAGCACTTTGGCAGGCCAAGGTGGGCGGATCACTTGAGGTCAGGAGCTCGAGACCAGCCTGGCCAACATGGCAAAACCCCGTCTCTACTAAAAACACAAAAATTAGCCAGGTGTGGTGGCGGGTGCCTGTAATCCAGCTACTAGGGTGGCTGAGGCAGGAGAATCACTTGAAGACGGGAGGCAGAGGCTGCAGTGAGCTGAGATCTCATCACTGCACTCCAGCCTGGGCAGCAATGAGAGACACCGTCTCAAAAAAAAAAAAAAAAAGAGGACTTAGTATTTTCACTGCTCCCAATTCTATGATTCCCATTCCCCACGTCCTCACTGATGTTTGATTTTCATGTTGATTTGAGTGACAGAAGCATATTTTATTTTATTTTATTTTGAGACGGAGTCTCACTCTGTATAGTGGCATGATCTCGGCTCACTAAAATCTCCGCCTCCCGGGTTCAAGCAATTCTCCTGCCTCAGCCTCCCAAGTAGCTGGGACTACAGGTGCCCGCCACCACGGCCCGGATAATGGTTTTTTTTTTTTTTTTTGTATTTTTAGTAGAGATAGGTTTCATTATGTTGGCCAGGCTGCTCTCGAACTGCTGACCTGTTGATCTGCCTGCCTCGGCCTCCCAAAGTGCTGGGATTACAGGCATGAGCCACCGCGTCCTGCCTATTATTTTATTCTTTATTATACAAACATGAACAGATCTCTGAATAAGCGCTTGGAAACCCTCATGGCTCCACTGTCAGATCGCTGTGTCTGAGCCTCCCTCGAGTCCCTCTCCACAGGCCCAGGGATGCGCTTCTCTTCACCCTTTTTCTGTGTCACAAGCATTTCCATATATTGCTACATTCTTTTTTCCCCTCTTTAAAAATAGCACTTTTCCTGATTATAAAAATAGTACATGCTCACTGTAGAACATTTAGAGAATATGTACAAATAGAGATTAAAAAATAAAAATATGACCCATCACCCAAAATGTTATCATTCTGATGTATTTCTTTACACCTTTTTTTTTTTTTTTTTTTTGAGACGGAGTCTCGCTCTGTCGCCCAGGCTGGAGTGCAGTGGCACGCTTACAGTTCACTGCAACCTCCACCTCCTAGGCTCAAGCGATCCTCCCACCTTAGCCTCCGGAGTAGCTGGGACCACAGCATCTGCCACCATGCCTGGCTAATTTTTTTTTTTTTGTAGAGATGAAGTTTTGCCATGTTGCCCAGGCTGGTTTTGAACTCCTGGTCTCAAGCAATCCATCCGCCTTGGCCTCCCAAAGTGCTGGGATTACAGGTGTGAGCCACCTTGCCCCGCCAAGTGTGGTGTTTTAAATTTAAGTGAATTAAGTACAATTAAAAATGCAGCTCCTCGGTTGCACTAGCCACATCTCAAGGGCTCAGTAGCCACATGTGGCTGGTGGCTACCATAGGGAACAACGCAGGTACAGAACATTACAGAACATTTTCATCATCCCAGAAAGTTCTACTGTACAGCGCTGGTTGAGAATGAGGTCCAGACTCCCCTGGAGGACTTCCAAGGGCTGGACAAGCCCAGAGAGTCTATGCTGTCTATGATGGATTACGCACTGCAGAAACGTCCCTGGACCCCCAGGCCAGAAGGCATCTGAACCGCATAAAGCCAGTGCCACCGGGTGGTGCTGAGGAGGAGGAGGCGGCAAGCTGGTGTCTGGGGCAGTGAGGATTTCAGATGCAGCTCCTGCCTCCTTGGGCAGACAGAACTGTCACCTCCAGGGTTGCCCAATCCCATGGTCAGCACCCAGTTCAAGCATAATATGTCGTGGGTCCTGGTGTCTCTTGCATTCACGCACACACACACACAGGTATGTACCATTGAGACATGACCACGCAGGGTCACCCAGGTTCACACATACAGCCTCATTCATGCTCAGAAACAGTTCCCCAAAAGGCACAAACACGGTCTTTGCCGATTGCCATTATAACAGCAACAAAAATAGCTGTTAGGCTGGGCGCCGTGGTTCACGCCTGTAATCATAGCACTTTGGGAGGCTGAGGCCAGAGGATCACTTGAGCCCAGGAGTTTAACACTAGCCTGGGCAACATGGTGAAACCTCGTTGCCAAAGAAAATTAAAAAACAATTAGCCAGGTGTTGTGTGGTATGTGCCTGTAGTCTCAGCTACTTGGGAGTCAGGTGGGAGGATTGCTTGAGCCCAGGAGTGGGAAGCTGCAGTGAGCTATGATCACACCACCGTACTCCGCCTGGAGGACAATAAAACCCTGTTTTTTTTTGTTTTTTTTTTTTTTTTTTTTTTTAAGAAAAGGTGGCTCACGCCTATAATCCCAGCACTTTTTTTTTTTCCTTTGGGGAAATTTTTTTTTTAATTATACTTTAAGTTTTAGCGTACATGTGCACAACGTGCAGGTTTGTTACATATGTATACATGTGCCATGTTGGTGTGCTGCACCCATTAACTCTTCATTTAACATTAGGTATATCTCCTAATGCTATCCCTCCCCACTCCCCCCAGTCCCAGCACTTTGAGCGGCTGAGGCAGCTGTGAGGTCAGGAGTTCTAGACCAGCCTGACCAACATGGTGAAACCCTGTCTCTACTAAAAATACAAAAAGTAGCCGGGTGTGGTGGTGCGCATCTGTAATTTCAGTTACTCAGGGAGTGCTGCTTCCTTGGGGTGAGGCACAGCCCTGTGGCGAGTCTCTTGGTAAAGTGAAAAATGCTGTAAATGGGTGGCTGAGATGGGTGCAGAGGATTGGGGTGTCATGGGGATGGCGGGTGGCATGGGGCTGGCTTCCGGATACCTCATCCCTGACATTTTCTCTGTTGACATTGGAACCCAGGATGTCCAGATGCTGTTTTTGAAGCCCTATCGGCCAGGGAGTCAATGGGCCCCCACTTTGCCTGGGAGGGCTGTGTCCTGGTGTCCTGTGGGGTTTTGGTCTCCCACCCCGGGGCCTAAGGGCCTCAGAATGAACTGGAACCCAACCTTTGTCAGGGGAGCCCCAGCAATGTCTGCACGACATACGCCCCCAAACAGCGTGGGTTCAGGAATTTGTAAGTGTTTGAGAAAGAAAAACTGTTAGGATTCTAGTTTCGTTGAAAAGCCATTTTGCCTTTGTCTTCCTCTGGGCACCTGACCATCCATTCTTAGCCCACCTGAGTATTGAGCATACACTATCGTCTCTGCAGTGGAGGTGGTCCTGGACGCATGGCGTAACGTGGGCTCTCTGGGCCCTCCAGAAAAGTGTGCCACTCGCTCCTCTCCGGCTGGGCCGTCAGAACCCACAGCTCACACACACATCCAGTCAAGGTCAGAAGAGGTGGCTGCATTCCTGACTCAAGGTCAAAAGAGGCAACTACATAATCAGTGAGTGGCCCTGAGGGGCCAGTAAGCAATAAGGCAGCGGGAAAGGGTGCAGAGCAATTGTGGAGCAATTACTAAGCAAGCAGAATGGGAAGCAACACGACTGAACAAGAAACAGCACATGGGGCCGGGCACGGCGGCTCACACCTGTCATCCCAGCACTTTGGGAGGCCGAGGCGGGCGGATCACGAGGTCAGGAGATCGAGACCATCCTGGCCAACATGGTGAAACCCCATCTCTACTAAAAATATAAAAAATTAGCTGGGCGTGGTGGCGGGCGCCTGTAGTCCCAGCTACTCGGGAGGCTGAGGCAGGAGAATGGCGTGAACCCGGGAGGCAGAGCTTGCAGTGAGCTGAGATTGTGCCACTGCACTCCAGCCTGGGTGACAGAGCAAGACTGTCTCAAAAAAAAAAAAAAAAGAAAGAAAGAAAAAAAGAAACAGCACATGGGCCAGGTGTGGTGGCTCACACCTGTCATCCCAGCAGTTTGGGAGGCCGAGGCAGATGGATCACTTGAGATTAGGAGTTCGAGACCAGCCTGGCCAACATGGTGAAACCCTGTCTCTACTAAAGTACAAAAATTAGCTGGGCATGGTGGCACACGCCTGTAATCTCAGCTACTTGGGAGGTTGAGGCAGGAGAATCACTTGAACCCGGGAGGCGGAGGTTTCAGTGAACCGAGATTGTGCCACTGTACTCCAGCCTGGGTGACAGAGCTAGACTCCATCTCAAAAAAAAAAAAAAGTCCGGGCATGGTGGCTCACGCCTGTAATCCCAGCATTTTGGGAGGCCGAGGCGGGCAGATCACCTGAGGTCAGGAGTTCGAGACCAGCCTCAACGTGGAGAAACCCTGTCTCTACTAAAAATACAAAAATTAGCCGGGCATGGTGGTGCATGCCTGTAATCCTAGCTACTCGGGAGGCTGAGGCAGGAGAATTGCTTGAACCTGGGAGGCGGAGGTTGCAGTGAGCCGAGATTGCGCCATTGCACTCCAGCCTGGGTGACAAAAGCGAAACTCTGTCTCAAAAAAAAAAAAAAAAAAAAAAAGAAATAGCATATGGGTCACAAATTCTGTTGACTAAGTAGAAGCAGAGGCTTGGCCAGAGAGGAGGAGGAGGCGGCGGCTGGAGATGCCTGTGGTGGTTCGAAAGGAAGCACCTGGACTGTTTGAGGGAAGCCTCTGTACAATGTCCAATTTTACCCCAAAACGTATCATGCTGCCTCCCTGCACCACTTCCTCTTTTAGGAGACAAGGTGTTGCTCTGTCCCCCAGGCTGGAGTGCAGTGGCATAATTGTGGCTCACTGCAGCCTTGAACTCATGGCACAAGCAATCTTCCTGCGTAGCTGGGATGACAGGCATGTGCCACCACACCTGGCTAATTTTTAAAATGTTTCTTATAGAGATGGGGTCTTGCTATGCTGTCCAGGCTGGTCTTGAACTCCTGGCCTCAAGTGATCCTCCCACCTTGGCCTCCTAAATTGCTGGTATTATGGGTGTGAGCCACCACACCTAGTCCCATCTTCCCTTTCAAACACAGGCCTAGCAGCAGCATCTCTCCAGCCTGTCTCCGCAGGGTTGTTTTTGGCTCATGATTTGGGCAAGAGGAGGGAGAAGGGAAGAGAAGAAACTTTGCTGTTGGAACTGGGTCAGAATTGGAATACAGGAAGCAAGAACATGAGTGTTCACGCTTTGACTGAGCTGTTGACAGCACCGAGGCCAGAGGCAGGAGAAATGAAGCTGTTTGTTTATCTGATGAATATTCATCGAGCTCCTATTTGTAGCCAGCCGCCTCTGTTTTAGGAGCCGGGGATCCCTTTGTTGAATCCTGGCTCTGCCACTCACTGCTGGGGTTACCTTGGGCAACCGTCTGAACCTCTCTGAGCTTGTTTTCCCATCCGGAAAGTGAAGATAAGGAGCGTCCCTGTCTCACAGGGATGTTTGAGGATGAAATGAGCTAACATAGGAAAAGCACTTAGCATGGTGCTTGGCGCAGAGTTAGTGCTCGTGACTGCAGCTGTTACTGAAGACAGAGCGTTTAGGTGTGAAGAGGGTCTGGTGCCCGCATCCAAGGAACTCACAGTCTCTGGAGGAAACAGACATTTAACAGTCATCTGCAAAGCATGAGGCAGTGCCAATAGAGATATTCTTCCTGGTGGAATGAGGGAAGGCTTCTTGAAGGAGGCGGCGCTGGAAGGTTGAAAAGGAATCCCTAGGAAGAGAAGGTTGCAGGGGGCATTTTTTTTCTTTTTTCTTTCTTTCTTTCTGTTTTTTTTTTTTTTTGAGACGGAGTCTTGCTCTGTCGCCCCGGCTGGAGTGCAGTGGTGCCATCTCGGCTCACTGCAACTTCCTCCTCCCAGGTTCAAGCGATTCTGCTGCCTCAGCTTCCCGAGTAGCTGGGATTACAGGCACCCACCACCACGCCCAGCAAATTTTTTTTTTTTTTTTTTTTTGTATTTTTAGTAGACACAGGGTTTCACCGTGTTAGCCAGGATGGTCTCAATCTCCTAACCTCGTGATCTCCCCGCCTCGGCCTCCCCAAGTGCTGGGATTACAGGCGTGAGCCACCATGCCTGGCCTGCAGGGGGCATTTCACACTGAGGAAACAGTAAGGGCAAAGGCTGCGGGTGGGTGGGGAAGTGTGTAGAGCTGTTTGAGAAGCGGTGAGCCAGGCTCTCGAAATGGATGGAGGGACATGGCAGGAAACAGCCAGAGGCGAGGGTGGGGATCCGCTCGGGGAGGCTCTGAGTGTGTTGCCGGCGAGATGACGGGTGCCCTGGAAGAGCGGGATGGGGGAACCGCCTGTCTCCTTGGTGACTTGGGAAGGCGGCCTTGGGAGCTTTGGGGATGGATTGCGGAAGGGAGGAGATGCTTGCTGTGCTCCTGAGGAGGGGTGGGGCCTGAATGTCCTCTTGGCTGGGGTTGGAGGGGAGGGCCAGGCTAGGGTCCTAAGAAGGTGAATCCTGAGCCCAGGCATCTAGCCCACGTGCAGCATGAAAGGAGGATTTCCGGCCGGGCGCGGTGGCTCACGCCTGTAATCCCAACACTTTGGGAGGCTGAGGCGGGCGGATCACGAGGTCAAGAGATCGAGACCATCCTGGCCAACATGGCGAAACCCCGTCTCTACTAAAAATATAAAAATTAGCTGGGCGTGGTGGCGTACGCCTGTAGTCCCAGCTACTTGGGAGGCTGAGACAAGAGAATCGCTTGAACCTGGGAATGGGAGGTTGCAGTGAGCCGAGATGACACCACTGCACTTCAGCCTGGTGTCACAGCGAGACTCCGTTTCGAGAGAGAGAGAGGAGAGAAAGAAAGAAAGAGAGAGAGAAAGAAAGAAAGAGAAAGTCCCATGGAAATGGGGGTTTCACATTTGGGGGATTTGCAAAGTAGTCACGTGGGTGAGGCAGGAGGGAAGCCTAGTAGCAGAGAAGATGATGCCTTCGGCCTTGAGTGTGGTGCGTTTGAGGAGCTTGTGGATCGTCCCAGGGGTGTGTGTGGTTGGGCTCTTTAGCTCAGGAGAGCTCAGCTGAGTGGATACCCACTCGCACATCCAACAGCTCTCATTCCCAAAGCGTGTTCTGAGTGTGAGTCCTACAAAAGTGGACAATTCAGACCCTGTTGGGTTTTGTGGCACTTTCTAGTCAGGGAGGCAGATGAGAACAGAATGAAGAACGCAGATGGTTTCAGACAGTGCCCAGTCCTGCGAAGGAAATAGAACAGTGAGGCGATGAGGGTGGGGCTCGGGGCTGGGGGAAGGGGCTACCCTGGGTGGGTGGTCAGGAAGAGCCTCTCCATAGAAGGGACATTTGAGGCCTGGCGCGGTGGCTCATGCCTGTAATCCCAGCACTTTGGGAGGCCAAGGCGGGTGGATCACCTGAGGTCAGGGGTTCAAGACCAGCCTGGATAACATGGTGAAACCCCCTCTCTACTAAAAATACAAAAATTAGCCGGGCGTGGTGGTACCTGCCTGTAATCCCCAAGCTCTTCTCCCAGCCCACCCGGCACCAGCCAGTTTGAGCTCTGACTGGGAACTGGGATCTCATTCATCCCATCTGGTCAGCATCTCTTTGGTTGCTTTTTATCAGCTTCCTATTAGAAAAAAAAAAAATCCCCTTGAAAAACAAGGGGGAGGGTTCATACACGATCGGTTGCAGCAGGCACGCCAGTGACGGTGGGGGCCCAGGGGGAGCGTGGCAGAGGCTCTCAGGCTGGAGGCCAGCTACTGCTCCGGCCAGCCCTTCCCTGTGGGGGAGCCACAAGAGGCCGTCCCTGGGCCTGCAAGCATGAGATGAGCCGAGCACTTGACCAAAACTAGTTTGGGTCTTAGAATTTAACTTATCCTGGGCCGGGTGCGGTGGCTCACGCCTGTCATCCCAACACTTTGGGAGGCCAAGGCTGGCGGATCACTTGAGGTCAGGAGTTCGAGACCAGCCTGGCTAACATGGGGAAACCCTATCTCTACTAAAAATACAAAAATTAGCAGGGTGTGGTGGTGCACGCCTGTAATCCCAGCTACTCGGGAGGCTGAGTCAGGAGAATCGCTTGAACCTGGGAGGCGGAGGTTGCAGTGAGCCGAGATCGCGCCATTGCACTCCAACCTGGGCGACAGTGAGACTCCATCTCAAAAACAACAACAAACAAACAAAAATAATACTGCGATTTCCTAGCAATGCCCAGTGACTTACCCTAAATTCAGTGAAAGTTGAAAAAAAAAAAGAAGTGGCATTTGAAGGAGACCCGAAGGAAGAAAAGGAGCCAGTGTGAAGCTGTCTGGGGAAGAGCATTCCAGGTGGTGGGAACAGGCTTGGCAGGTGTGAAGATGAGGAAGGAGGCCCCTGAAGAGCCGGCGGGAAGAGCGGGTGGATGGGAACACAGTTTCCCCGTCCGCCAGCAGGTGGCACTGTTGGCCCAGGACTGCCCGGGCATGGCTGGGAGAGCAGGTGGGGCCGCGGGTTCTTTGACCTCAGGTTTGTGATTCTGGCTGTGGGCTCATCACAGGCTCTACCTCCACCCTCTGGGGAGATAAGCCCTGGCCGGGGGCAGAAGAGCAGTTGTAATGGTTTCCTGGCTGTTCTCCTTCCCCAACGGGTCTTGCTTTCAGTGTTTCTTTGCTTGCTCCCTCTCCAGAGGTGACTTCCCTCCCGGTTTCTGGGTATCTGTGTCTTTGCTCTCTCCTTTTGCTTTTCTTTTTGCTCCCTTGGTCTCTTCTCCTCCCTCTCTCATTGCTCCCTGGGGGGGCAGGTTCCTGTCTCAAAGATTAATTACTTGCTTTTTTTTTTTTTTTTTTTGGGAAACCTCGCTCTGTCGCCCAGGCTGGAGTGCAGTGGCACGATCTGGGCTCACTGCAACCTCTGCCTCCCAGGTTCAAGCGATTCTCCTGCCTCAGCCTTCTGAGTAGCTGGGATTACAGGCACCCGCCACCACGCCCGGCTAATTTTTTGTATTTTTAGTAGAGACGGGGTTTCGCCATGTTGGCCAGGCTAGTCTCAAACTCCTGACCTCAGGTGATCCACCCGCCTCAGCCTTAAAAAGTACTGGGATTACAGGCCTGAGCTACCATGCCCGGCCAATTACTTGCTTTCCTGATGTAGCTCAGATGGAGCGGGTGGTGACTTAGGATCAGGAAGGTGCTGTTTCTCATCCCATTGCCTACCCTTCCTTCCCGTGGCTTCAGATCTCCATAAAGGGCTGGGGCTGGGGTCGTGACCCCGTCGGTAGAAAATGGTCCCAGCGACCCTTCTCTCCTGGAGCCCATGGACCCACCTCCCAGTGCCATGCCCTGCTCACCTCCAGCCCCTCTAGCAGGCAGCCCTGTCTTCATGTGAGAAGGGAGAACTGGATGGCAAAGCAGATGGCACAGAACAGCTGCACAAGAGCTCACCGAAGGGCTTGTTATGAAAGAGTCATTTTTGTCAACAGAAGTACGCTTCTGCCCTATACTCCGTGCTCTGTGAATTATTTCTCAGGGGAGACTAAGCTGGCCAGAGCCTGGTGGTGGCCTCCTGGCTGTCGGATGTCAGAGTTAGGGCTGCAGGTTGAGGGGTCCTTGGCTTTGGTCTGTGAGTACCATGGTGGTTAAGAGCCTGGTCTCTCTCTCTTAAATTTTTTTTTTTTTTTTTTGAGATGAGATTTTGCTATGTTGCCCAGGCTAGTCTTGAATTCCTGGCTTCAAGAGATCCTTCTGCCTCAGTCTCTCGAGAGGCTGGGATTACAGTTGTGAGCCACCGTACCTGGCAGTCTCTTTATTTTACTTTACTTTTTCCTCTAAAGTTAAAGTTTACAGTATTTTATTTTGTTGTGGTGAGAACACATAACATGAACTCTACCCTCTTAACAGACTTTTAAGTGTACAATACATTATTGTTGAATGTAAGTAAGAGTTTACTCTCTTAAAGCCTCCCACTGGGTGGGAAGTCTAGCACCTTACAACAGGACCCTGTAATCCCAGCACTTTGGGAGGCCGAGGTGGGCGGATCACTTGAGGTCAGGAGTTCAAGACCAGCCTGGCCAACATGGTGAAACCCTGTCTGTACTAAAAACACAAAAAAATTAGCTGGGTGTGGTGGTGCATGCCTGTAATTCGAGCTACTCGGGAGGCTGAGGGAGGAGAATAGCTTGAACCCATGAGGCGGAGGTTGCAGTGAGCCGAGGAGATCGTGCCATTGCACTCCAGTCTGGGCGACAGAGGAAAACTCCGTCTCAAAAAATTAAAAAAGATGGCCGGGTGTGGTGGCTCACGCCTGTAATCCCAGCACTTTGGGAGG
Organism: Homo sapiens; assembly: GCF_000001405.40. Lineage (NCBI taxonomy): Eukaryota > Metazoa > Chordata > Mammalia > Primates > Hominidae > Homo > Homo sapiens. The sequence goes on from NC_000017.11 coordinate 2,830,480, forward strand.
CCGAGGCGGGCAGATCACGATGTCAAGAGATCGAGACCATCCTGGCTAACATGGTGAAACCCCGTCTCTACTAAAAATACAAAAATTAGCTGGGCGTGGTGGCGGGCGCCTGTAGTCCCAGCTACTCAGGAAGCTGAGGCAGGAGAATCGCTTGAACCTGGGAGGCGGAAGTTGCAGTGAGCCGAGATCACACCACTGCACTCCAGCCTGGGCGACAGAATGAGACTCTGTCTCAAAACAAAACAAAACAAAACAAAAACTAAAAAAAAGATTTTGAACAGTAAATGTATTTACATGGTTGGTTCTAAAACCAAAATGATATAAAAATATATGTGGTAGAAAGATTTGCTTGTACTCCAATCCGCCCTGTCCCTACATTCTAAAATTCACTTTGAGGTTCTTTCCAGTGCTTCTTTATTCACATGTAAGATGAGCATATCCTTTTCTTACCTCCACTCCCCTTCCCTCCCTTCCCCTCCCCTCCCCTTCCCTCCCTTCCCCTACCCTTCCCTCCACTTCCCTCCCCTCCCCTCCTCTCCCCTCCCTTTCCTTCCCCTCCCTCCCCTGCCCTTCCTTCCTCTCCCCTTCCCTCTTTCTTTTTCTTTCTTTCTTTTTTTGAGATGGAGTCTTGCTCTGTTGCCAGGCTGGAGTGCAGTGGTGTGATCTCGGCTCACTGCAACCTCTGCCTCCCGGGTTCAAGGATTCTCCTGCCTTAGCCTCCCGAGTAGTTGGGACTACAGGCACCTGCCACCACGCCCAGCTACTTTTTGTATTTTTAGTAGAGATGGGATTTCACTACATTGGCCAGGCTGGTCTTGAACTCCTGACCTCAGGTGATCTGCCTGCTCCAGCCTCCCAAAATGCTGGGATTACAGGTGTGAGCCACCATGCCCAGCCTCCTATTTCTTTTTCTTAAATAAAAGGTAATATCCTACAAAACACTGTTTTACATCTTGCCTTTTTCTCTGGAGAATTCCTGTCTGACCACTGAGAGCTGCTGCTGCCTCTGCCCCATTCCTTTTAAAAATAACTGTGTAGTATTTAACGGTGTGGATTTAATTTTAGAGACTGATGATTCCTTTCAGAAATTTAATTTTGTATAACGTAAGTAATATAAGAATACATTTTTGGCTGTGCATGGTGGCTCATGCCTGTAATCCCAGGACCGTAGGAGGCCAACGTGTGTGGATTGCTTGAGCCCAGGAGTTTGAGACCAGCCTGGTGGGGGGGCAGCATGACAAAACCTCATCTCTACTAAAAATAAAAAAAATTAGATGTGGTGGTGCACACCTGTAATCCCAGGTACTGGGGAGGCTGAGGTTGGAGGATCCCTTGAGCCCAGGAGTTTGAGGCTGCCATGAGCTGTGATCATGCCATTGCAATCCAGGCTGGGTGACAGAGTGAGACCCTGTCTCAAAAAACAACAACAACAACACAAAAAACAGGCTGGGCGTGGTGGCTCACGCTTTTAATCCCAGCACTTTGGGAGGCTGAGGCGGGCGGATCACGAGGTTAGGAGTTCGAGACCAGCCTGCCCAATATGGCGAAACCCTGTCTCTACTAAAAATACAAAAATTAGATGGGCTTGGTGGTGGGTGCCTGTAATCCCAGCTACTCGGGAGGCTGAGGCAGGAGAATCACTTGAACCTGGGAGGTGGAGTTTGCAATGAGCTGAGATCACGCCATTGCATTCCAGTCTGGGTGACAGAGTGAGACTCTGTCTCCAAAAAAAAAAAGAAAACAAAAAAACCCAAATCATTTTCCTTAAAACAATCAGAACATTAAAGATAAAGTCTCGGCCGGGCGCGGTGGCTCATGCCTGTAATCCCAGCACTTTGGGAGGCCAAGGTGGGTGGATCACGAGGTCAGGAGATCGAGATCATCCTGGCTAAAACGGTGAAACCCCATCTCTACTAAAAATACAAAAAATTACCCAGGTGTTGTGGCGGGCACCTGTAGTCCCAGCTACTCGGGAGGCTGAGGCAGGAGAATGGCGTGAACCCAGGAGGTGGAGGTTGCAGTGAGCCGAGATCGCGCCACTGCACTCCAGCCTGGGCGACAGAGCGAGACTCCATCTCAAAAAAAAAAAAAAAAAAAAGATAAAGTCTCCTATGGCCAGCAGTGACATTCCCTTTCTCTCCTCCCCAGAGTAGCCACTGTTCAGAGTTTGGTACATACTTTTCTAGATATTTAAACAGGGCTGGGTGCAGTGGCTGGCCAGGTGCATTGACTCACTCCTGTAATCCCAGCACTTTGGGAGGCCGAGGCGGGCGATGGCTCGAGGTCAGGAATTCGAGTCCAGCCTGGCCAACATGGTGAAACCCCATCTCTACTAAAAATACAAAAAGTAGCTGGGCGTGGTGGCACTTGCGTGTAGTCCCAGCTACTCGGTGGGGGGCTGAGGCAGGAGACTTGCTGGAACTTGGGAGGCAGAGGTTGCAATGAGCGAGATCGCACCACTGCACTCCAGCCCGGGTCACAGAGCAAGACTGTCTCAAAAAAACGAAAACAAAAACAAACCAGTATTTTTACATGTACCTTAAGTAACCATCAATGTCCATACATACACAGTTAGCTCATTCCTTCTAATCACAGTTTAGGGTCCAGCTTACAAATATACCACACCCTGCTTATCTGTTTCTCCTGTAAATGGTTGTTCTTGATAATTTTTTTTTTTTTTTTAGATGGAGTCTTGCTCTGTCTCCCAGGCTGGAGTGCAGTGGTGCAATCTCGGTTCACTGCAACCTCTGCCTCCTGGGTTCAAGCGATTCTCCTGCCTCAGCCTCCCGGGTAGCTGGGATTACAGGCACACACCACCATGCCTGATTTTTGTATTTAGTAGAGATGAGGTTTCACCATGTTGGCCAGGCTGGTCTTGAACTCCTGACCTCAGGTGATCCACCCGCCTCAGCCTCCCAAAGTGTTGGGATTACAGGGGTGAGCCACCGCGCCTGGCCTGTTCTTGGTATGTTTTTACTCTTATGAAAAGTGCCGAGGTCAGGAGATCGAGACCATCTTGGCTAACACGGTGAAACCCCGTTTCTACTAAAAATACAAAAAATGAGCCGGGTGTGTTGGCGGGCGCCTGTAGTCCCAGCTACTTGGGAGGCTGAGGCAGGAGAATGGCATGAACCTGGGAGGCGGAGCTTGCAGTGAGCCGAGATCTCGCCACTGCACTCCAACCTGGGAGACACAGCGAGACTCCGTCTCAAAAAAAAAAAAAAAAAAAAAAGAAAAGTGCCACAGTGGACATCCTCATAGTTGACTGTCTACACATGAAAGTGTTTCTCTAGACTTGAGTGAATCCTAGATGTGAGATTGCTGGGTGATAGGGTAGGTGACTTTCTATTTCATCATACTGCAAATTGCCTGCCAATTTCTATGCCACTAGTAGGAGTGTACATGTTGCTTGTCTGTTGGGTGAAGCATCCTGTCTCCTTGCTGTGGTTGCATTCCCTGATTTCCAGCCCTCTGAGCAGCTCTGGCTGTGTCCTGCGTGCTGTACCCTCCGCCCAGAGAAGCACTGTCCTCCGTAAGTCAGGTGGACTCTCGGCCTCTGAAGTTCCTGCACCCGCCTGGTGTCTTTGCAGCATGGTCTTTTGCTGAGAATAACCTCGACCTTCTCCTTTTCAAAAGCCCTCCAGAGGGCTTTACTGACCAGAGAGGTGGCTAGAGAGTTGGCTGTGGGATTGACCACACTGACTTCCCCAGACCCATCTTAAGAGGCTGGCTTTAGATTTTCATCCTATCCCAGTTCTTAAGATGTAAGTTCTGCCCTGAGGGCCCCTGGGGGAAGCCACAGCTTAAAGCTCAAATGCATTTCCCTTGCTGAAGGAGCTGAGCCAGCCAATTCCCCTTGTGCTAGTTCAGGGGTTTTGTCTGCCAATCTCAAACCCAGGAACAAGTTCTAAGAACTGGGTCCCTTGAGAGACCTAGAGTCTGGCAGTTGGGTGGGAAGAGGATTGACCTTGGAGACAGTTTCTGTCACCTACACCCACCTCCTGAGAAATAACTTCAAGAGAGGAAGGACCATCTTGGTCGAGGTGGTATCTCACACCTGTAATCCCAGCACTTTGGGAAGCTGGGGTGGGCAGATGGCTCGAGCCCAGGAGTTTAAGACCAGCTTGGGCAACGTGGCAAAACCCCATCTCTACAAAAAATACAAAAATTAGCTGGGCATGGTGGCAGGTGCTTGTAGTCTCAGCTACTCAGGAGGCTGAAGTGGGAGGACTGCTTGAGCCCACGAGGTTGAGGCTGTAGGGAGCTGTGATCTCATCACTGTACTCCAGCCTGGGTGACAGAGTGAGACCCTGTCTCAAAAAAAAGAAAGGACCATCTCATCTGGTCCTCTGCCTCAGTTCCTACCCCATTTACTATACCACTGAATCCTTCACCATCCACCTGACCTTTATTTAAATTAAAATAAATTAAATTAATTAATTATTATTATTATTTTTTGAGATGGAGTCTCGCTCTGTTGCCTAGGCTGGAGTGCAGTGGCGTGATCTCTCCTCACTGCACACTCCACCTCCCAGGTTCATGCCATTCTCCTGCCTCAGCCTCCCAAGTAGCTGGGACTACAGGCGCCCGCCACCACACCTGGCTAATTTTTTTTTGTATTTTTAGTAGAGACAGGGATTCACCGTGTTAGCCAGGATGGTCTCGATCTCCTGACCTTGTGATCCACCTGCCTTGGCCTCCCAAAGTGCTGAAATTACAGGCATGAGCCACTGCACTCTGCCATTAATTAATTTTTCTGAGATGGAGTCTCGCTCTGTCACCCAGGCTGGAGTGCATTGGCACGATCTTGGCTCACTGCAAACTCCACCTCACGGGTTCAAGCGATTCTCCTGCCTCAGCCTCCTGAGTAGCTGGGATTACAGGTGTGCGCCACCACACCCTGTTAATTTTTTGTATTTTTAGTAGAGATGGGGTTTCACCATGTTGGCCAGGATGGTCTCGAACTCCTGACCTCAGGTGATCCGCCTGCCTCAGCCTCCCACAGTGCTGGAATTACAGGCGTGAGCCACCACAAACTTGTTGTTAATGGTCACTCATTGTCCGTGGTTGTCACATCTCTTTTGTCTCTTTAAATACAGAACAGAGCTGGGTGTGGTGAACTGTACTTCCAGCTATTCAGGAGGCTGAGGTGGGAGGATCATTGGAGCCCAGGAGTTTGAGGCTGCAGTGAGCTATGATCGCACCACTGCATTCCAGCCTGGGTGCATTCCAGAGTGTGACCCTGTCTATAAATAAATATAGAACAGCAGACCTGGCAAAGTTGTTTAGTAGAACGTCTCACATTTTGGATTTATCTGAATGCTTCCTTTTTTTATTCCCCAACATTTTCCTGGAATAGTCCTTGATTTTACGGAAGAAAGATGAAATGAGTAGCTTGTGTGCTGACAGTGAAGAGGAAGGGAGACACTCCTGTTTTATCTGCTGGGGCCAGATTTGTGCCAGCCCTGCCTTTTCCTTGGGTGTGGTTGAGAGGACTGTGCGCAGACCGCCCCCAGCCAGCCACTGGCGGGGTGTGTTGGTGCATCTGGCACTGGCGGGGTGTGTTGGTGCATCTGGGTGTTAGGAGGTAGGTCCAGGGGCTTCTCCTGGGAAGTTGTCCCCATGTCGCCTTCGGGGGGTGCTCCCTGTGGGAGAATGAGTGGTGTGGTCGTCCCCCTTGCCTGAAGCTGTTATTTTGTTCCCTCCTGTGTTTCCTTGCCGGTTGGGTAGAGGTCTACTATGTTCACTAACTAGGTTACTAGTGACAGAAACCTTACTCAAACTGGCTTAAGAAAAAAAAAAAGAAACCAAAAGGAAAAACAAAGTCCATGAAAACTTTTGTAATTGGTAAGTTTAAGGAACCTGGCTTTGGCCGGGTGCAGTGGCTCACACCTGTAATCTCAGGACTTGGGGAGGCCAAGGCAGGCGGATCACCTGAGGTCAGGAGTTCAAGATCATCCTGACCAACATGGTGAGACCCCATCTCTCTTAAAAACACAAAAATCAGCTGGGCATGGTGGCGGGCAACTGCAATCCCAGCTCCTCAAAAGGCTGAGGTACGAGAATCGCTTGGACCTGGGAGGCGGAGGTTGCAGTGAGCTGAGATCACGTCACTGCACTCCAGCCTGGGTGATACAGCGAGACTCAGTCTCAAAAACAAAACAAAACAAAACAACAAGCAAACAAAAAACTGGCTTCAGGTCCAGCTAGATCCAGGTGGGTGAGACAGCATCATCGGACCATCTATTTGTACCTATCTCTTGGCTCTAATTCCTGCATTTATTTCATTCACAGGCACCTCTCCCCACATGTTATAAGGCAGCCACTGGCAGCTCTAGTGTGAGCTTTGAAAATCTCAGTAGGTATGATTAAGCTGCTTCCTTCTATAGCACCTGTAAAAATTTGGTGTTCACTCTGTTTGGACTGACGAGGTGTGTGCCCATTCCTGAAGCAATCGTAGTGGATTGGTGAATAGAGTACATGAATTGAGGCCAGTAACGGTGGCTCACACCTGTCATCCCAGCACTTTGGGATGCCAAGACAGGAGGATCACTTGAGGCCAGGAGTTCAAGACCAGTGTGGGCAACAAGGTGAGACCCTGTCACTACAAAAAATTAAAAAATTAACTAAGCATGGTGGTGCACACCTGTAGTCCTAGACACCCAGGAGGCTGGGGCTGGAGGATTGCTTACACCCAGGAGGTTGAGGCTGCAGTAAGCTATGATTGCGCCACTGCACTCCAGCCTGGGTGACAGAGCAAGACTCTGTCTCTGGAAAAAAAAAAAAAAAAAGCATGAATTTGAATTTGAATTGGCCAAGCCTGCATCGTGTACCTACCCCAAAGCTCAGGCTGGGTAGGTTGAGAAAGGGGCAGCCCCGTATAAACCACAAAAACCAACAGTGGTGTCAGAGTGCTCCCCAGGGGAGCATCAAGGTACTGTCAGCTAGAGGAAGGGGCCTGGGCACGGAGCAGGCAGAAAGGCATATTCCGCTTCGTCTGGTGATGGGCATCGGGAGTCTCTGGCCGAGTCAGCTCCTCGTTTCCTGGGGCTCCATTCCTCTTCATTTTGGATTTGGCGGAAGTCAGTGTCCACAGGACCATCTGTGTCAGGGTGTCAGCCCTGCTTCTTTTTTTTTTTTTTTTTGAGATGGAGTCTCACTCAGTTGCCCAGGCTGGAGTGCAGTGGCGTGACCTTGGCTCACTGCAAGCTCTGCCTCCCGGGTTCACGCCATTCTTCTGCCTCAGCCTCCTGAGTAGCTGGGACTACAGGTGCCTGCCACCATGTCCGGCTATTTTTTTGTATTTTTAGCTGAGACGGGGTTTCGCCGTGTTAGCCAGGATGGTCTCGATCCCCTGACCTTGTGATCTGTCTGCCTTGGCCTCCCAAAGTGCTGGGATTACAGGGGTGAGCCACCGCACCCGGTCTCAGCCCTGCTTCTTAGTGGCTGTGTGATCCTGGACAGAAGAGTTAGCCTTTCTAGGTTTCGGTTTACTCATCTGGAAAGGAGTATGATGTTCATGTTCTTTCTTTTTTCCTTTTTTTTTTTTTTTTTTTTGAGACAGAGTCTCGCCTTATCACCCAGGCTGGAGTGCGGTGGTGCGATCTCGGCTCACTGCAACCTCCGCCTCCCAGGTTCAAGCAATTCTCCTGCCTCAGCCTCCTGAGTAACTGCGATTACAGGCGCCCACCACTGCATCCAGCTAATTTTTTGTATTTTTAGTAGAGGTGGGGTTTCACCATGTTGGTCAGGCTGGTCTTGAACTCCTGATCTTGTGATCCGCCCGCCTCGGCCTCCCAAAGTGCTGGGATTACAGGTGTGAGCCACGGCGCCCGGCCTTGTGTTCCTTCTTGATGGGGCTGACAGGATCCAGTGGAGTGGTAGGTGTGGAAGTGCAGGCAGCTGGCGACATGCTGAACCCAGGGGGTGGTGTGTGCTGCCCTGCAAGGTGATTCTTCTGCTCCAGGGTGAGCAGGGCCTGTCCTTGGACTTGCTCTTTGGAGAGTTGGGATGGTGACCTGTACTGGGATGGTGACCTGTACTGGGTTGTTGACCCCTCGGGATGTGTGGGGTGATTCTTCCACAGATGAACATAGCATGGGGCAGAACACTGTCCCACTGCGGGAACCCTTTGCTCATTCTCCGAGCTCCAGATGAGGAAGGGAGGCGGGTGGAATTGGATGAATTGGCGCAGTGATTCCGAAATTGTAACCGGGGGAGATGACATTTGGTGGTAAGAGGACGGGACACAGCATTCCCCGAAACTGATCCCCGGAGAGAAAGCTGTTTATTCCCTTTGCAGTTCTCTTTCTGTGCAGCTCATCACTTCAAGGAGAATGTCTCAGTTAGGGGCTAATATATGTCTTTAACACCTTTCTAACATTTGCTAACCTTCCTTATTAACAGAGAGAGTGGGTCTCAAGCCTCAGGCCTTGGGCAGGCGACAGTGTTTAGCAGACTGTAATAACATTATTCAATTTTCATTATATTTACCTTTTTTCTGGTAGACATTTTTTTTTAAGGTTTAAAAATTATAGAAAAGGCCAAGTGTGGTGGCTCAGGCCTGTAATCCCAGCACTTTTGGAGGCCAAGGCAGGTGGATCACTTAAGGTCAGAAGTTTGAGACCAGCCTGGCCAACATGGTGAAACCCTGTCTCTACTAAAAATACAAAAATTAGCAGGACATGGTGGCGGACGCCTGTAATCCCAGCTGCTCGGGAGGCTGAGGCAGGAGAATCACTTGAACCCAGGAGGCAGAGGTTGAGTGAACCAGTGAGCCGAGGTCACGCCACTGCACTCCAGCCTGGGCAACACAGTGAGACTCTGTCTTAATAATAAAAAAAAAAAGAATAAAAAATAAATAAAATTACAGAAAAATTAAGAGTACAGAGAGTCCCCATAGGCTCTATAATCCAGTTCCCTACAACTTACATTAGTACGATCCATTTGCTATAATTAACATTAGTGTGGTCCATTTGCTATAATTAACATTAATATGGTCCATTTGCTATAATTAATGAACCTAGACTGATGTATGATCATTAATAACTGAAATGCATGGTTTATTCAGATTTTAGAGTTTTTCCCTAATGTCCTTTTCTGTTCCAGGAACCACATTACATTTAGTTTTCACAGCTCCTTAGACTCCTCTTGGCTGTGACTGTTTCTCAGACTTTGCTTGTTTTTGGCAGCCCTGACAGCTTTGAGGCGTGCTTGTCACTCAATTTAGATTTGTCTCATATTTTTCTCATGATTAGACTGGGTATTGGTTTTTGAGAGGATGACTACCCAGGTATAGACCAGGTATAGAACCATTTTTCTTTTTTTAATTTTTTTTGAGACGGAGTTTTGCTCTTGTTGCCCAGGCTGGAGTGCAATGCGTGATCTCGGCTCACTGCAACCTCCGCCTCCTGGGTTCAAGTGATTCTCCTGCCTCAGCCTCCGGAGTAGCTGGGATTACAGGCATGCGCCACCACGCCCAGCTATTTTTGTATTTTTAGTAGAAACGGGGTTTCACCATGTTGGTCAGGCTGGTCTCAAACTCCCAACCTCAGGTTCGCACCCGGCAGAACCATTTTCGTCACATCCTGATAACCACTGTTGATGTTGGCCTTGGTCACCTGGCTGAGATAGTGTTTTGTCAGATGTCTCCATTGTAAAGTTATTCTTTATTTTTAAATTTTTATTGATTGATTGAGATGGAGTCTCACTCCATCTCACTCCAGTGTCACTGGAGTGCGGTGGCGCGATCTCGGTTCACTGCGACCCCCACCTCCTGGATTCAAGCGATTCTCCTGCCTCAGCCTCCCGAGTAGCTGGGATTACAGGCGCCCACCACAACACCCAGCTAATTTTTGTATTTTTAGTAGAGGTGGGTTTCACCACATTGGCCAGGCTGGTCTCAAACTCCTGACCTCAGGTGATCCGCCCACCTTGGCCTCCCAAAGTGTTGGGATTACAGGCGTGAGCCACAGTGCCCGGCTGTTATTCTTTATTTTCTTCCATCCGTAGTATACTGTTCACATCTAAGGAGCAGGGCATTATATTTTCTTTCTTTTCTTTTTTCGCTATGTTTCCCAGGCTGGGCTCAAACTCCTGGGCTCAACTTGATCTCCTGCCTTAGCCTCCTGAGTAGCTGGGACTACAGGCATGAGCCATCATGCCTGGCTTATATTTACTTTACCTTCTATTTATGAGAAATGATTATATCCATTTATGATGTGAACATAAAGTCTTGGCTGGGCACCGTGGCTCACGCCTGTAATCCCAGCACTTTGGGAGGCTGAAGTGAGTGGATTGCTTGAGGCCAGGAGTTCGAGACCAGCCTGGCCAATATGGTGACACCCTGTCTCTACAAAAAATACAAAAATTAGCTGGGTGTGGTGGCCTGGGCCTGTAGTCCCAGTTACTCAGGAGGCTGAGGTAGGAGGATTGCTTGAGCCCGGGAGGTGGAGGCTGCAGTGAGCCGAGATTGCGCCACTGCACTCCAGCCTGGGTGACAGGGTGAGACCCTGTTTAAAAAATAAAAAGACCGGTGTGGTGGCTCACGCCTGTAATTCCAGCTGCTTGGGAAGCTGAGGCAGGAGAATCGCTCGAACCTGGGAGGCAGAGGTTGCAGTGAGCCGAGATTGCGCCACTGCACTCCAGCCTGGGCAAGAAGAGCTAAAGTCTGTCTCAAAAACAAACAAACAAACAATAAAAAACATGAAGTCTTTATAATATTAATTTATAAAACATGAAGTCTTTTCAGTATTTAATTTAAAAATTAAGTCCATTTAAAGAAAAATATTAAGTAGAGAGAAAAGTTACAAGAGATATGGGGAATTTTTTTTTTTTTTTTTTGAGACGGAGTCTTGCTCTGTCGCCCAGGCTGGAGTGCAGTGGCACGAACTCGGCTCACTGCAACCTCCACCTCCCAGGTTCACGCCATTCTCCTGCCTCAGCCTCCTGAGTAGCTGGGACTACAGGCGCCCGCCACCACACGCGGCTAATTTTTTTTTGTATTTTTAGTAGAGATGGGGTTTCACCTTGTTAGCCAGGATGGTCTCAATCTCCTGACCTTGTGATCTGCCTGCCTCGGCCTCGGAAAGTGCTGGGATTACAGGCGTGAGCCACCGTGCCCGGCCGATTTGGGGACATTTTAAAAAGCAGGAAAGCCACCCTGGAATGGTAGATGTCAGAGAAATGCTGAAGGCAGGAAGATGTTGAGAGTATGGTCTGGGAAAATGGCTGGGGCTCAGTGTCATCTCCTGGCCTGTTTCCCAAATCCCCTTAAGACAAGGAACAGGAAGTGACTGATGTAGCCTCTGAGAAGTCTCAGACACAGCGCAGAGGGGCCATGGCTACCCCAGGGACGGGTGTGATGACTCCCTGGGGTCACGGCTTTTCCTCCCTCCCTTCTCTCGGGCTCCTCCTGACCCCACAGCATTCCCAGCAGTTTCTGGCAGGCAGGTGAGGAGACCTGGGTCAGGCAGGCTGTGGCAGCTGCCTGTGCAACTGGCCCTGTGGCGTGCAAGCCTCAACCCTCTCTACAGCTCAGGGTCTGAAAGGCGGTGCCAGGTACTGGGTCCTTCCGCCCATGTTATCTAGTTTCCTCCACAACCTGGGGGAGTATTGGGGTCCTTGTCATTCTCATCACTCAGGGGAAGAGACCTGTCCAGGTCACCAGCTGGTCAGGGCCCACGCTTGGGTAATAGGTGAATATTTGACCTCACACCTTTGGATGTGAAACAAGTTACACTCCTTTATTTTTCTAAAAAGTCTTTTAAAAATATGGGCTAGCCAGGTGTGTGGTGGCTCATGCACTTTGGGAGGGCGAGGCAGGCAGGTCACCTGAGGTCAGGAGTTCGAGACCAGCCTGGCCAACATGGTGAAACCCTGTCTCTAACAAAAATACAAAAATTAGCCAGGCGTGGTGGCACATGCCTGTAATCCCAGCTACTTGGGAGGCTGAGGCAGGAGAATTGCTTGAATCCGGGAGGCAGAGGTTGCAGTGAGCCGAGATCGCGCTACTGCACTCCAGCCTGGGTGACAGAGCGAGATTCCGTCTCAAAAAAAAAAAAAAAAAAAAAAATACCACTTTTACTACCCTCTAGGAATGGCATGAAATACAGTAGTTTTGGAGCCCTCCCCTCCCTAGAGTTGCCTAAAAGCCGTGGGTGCCCTAAGAGAGACCTTTGAGTCGAGCCACTGCTTTGACACCTTTCCTTGGCAGGCTGGTGGTGTGAGGCTCTGGGTGTGAGCATCCTTTAGACGCCCATCTGAGTTTATGCCTCCAGTGTCAGGGCCGAAGGTGGGTCTCCATCCTGAGACCTCGCTGTCCCACCCTCTCCTCCCCTCCAGCCAATCCAATTCTGTCAAGTCAAAAGCCTGGGAAAGTTTTTCTGGGGCAGAGGAAGCTGAGGCTCCAGAACATGGAATCCTCCTTCTTTTCTCTCTCTTCCTCCCTTCCGTCTTTCCCCTTCTTTTCTTTCCATGGTATTTATTGAGGGCTAGCGTAGAGCAGACGCCATCCTGAGTGTGGGGTAGGGCGATGACTAAGGTGTACACGGTGTCTGCCTCCGTGGAGTATACATTCCACCGGGGGCTGGTGTGGGGCAAATAGACAAGAAAACAAGCACACAGACAAATCAGCAACAACAAAAAACCCAAAACCTCAACCTGGAATAATACATGAAGAAAACAAGCCAGCGGCTAGGTGCAGAATCACTAAGGGTGTGTCCTGCAGGTGAGTGGTCAAGGAAGCCCTCTCTGGGAGGCAACATGCTTTTGGGATAGGTCTATGGTGGAGAAACAACTCAGTTAATTTCCCTTTTTTTTTTTTTTTAATGGTGTCTCGCTCTGTCGCCCAGGCTGGAGTGCAGTGGCGCGATCTCGGCTCACGGCAACCTCCACCTCCTGGGTTCAAGCTATTTTCCTGCCTCAGCCTCTTGAGTAGCTGGGATTACAGGTGCATGCCACCATGACTGACTACTTTTTTGTATTTTTAGTAGAGACGGGGTTTCACCATGTTAGCCAGGCTGGTCTCGAACTCCTGACCTCAAGTGATCCACCCACCTCAGCCTCCCAAAGTGCTGGGATTACAGGTGTGAGCCACCGTGCCCGGCCCAATTTCCCCATTTGGTGGTTCAGTTACATTGCATCATTAATAAAGTCTCCTGCCTCCCACTACCTTGCAGGGTGGGGCGGGGTGGGGCTGAGATGGTTTCCGTCCAGGTTCTCCAAGAAAGACAAGAGCTTCGCCTTCCCAGAGTCATGCTGAGTGTACTTCTTATTGCTGACATGGGGCCACGTGAAGGTCACTACTGGCCTTGCCTGGGCAACATCTTTCCCCCTGTGATTGGGAGGACGTGATTGGCACACTTAAGTCCTTTAGTTATCAGCTGTGATCCATCATTTGTGACCCACAGAGCCCCTGATTCTGCCTTGTGGGTACAGTGAGCGAGGGGTTGGGGGCGGGGGTGGAGGAAATGGACAGAAGCAAAGAGTTTGGAGCGTTGGGTAAAAGGAAGATGGCCGGCGCGCTTTTTTTTATTTTTATTTTTATTTATTTATTTTTTGAGACGGAGTCTTGCTGTGTCGCCCAGGCTGGAGTGCAGTGGCTCGATCTCGGCTCACTGCAAGCTCTGCCTCCTGGGTTCACGCCATTCTCCTGCCTCAGCCTCCGGAGTAGCTGGGACTACAGGCGCCCGCCACCATGCCTGGCTAATATTTTGTATTTTTAGTAGAGATGGTGTTTCGCCATTTTAACCAGGATGGTCTTGATCCCCTGACCTCGTGATCTGCCCGCCTCGGCCTCCCAAAGTGCTGGGATTACAGGCATGAGCCACTGCGCCCGGCCGGCCAGCGCGGTTTCTGAAGCTGCTTTGGGACTTGGAGGGTTCAGAGAGTGGGAACTGAATTTTTTTCCCCTAAGAGTAGAGAGGGAGTTGCTTACACGAAAGAGCTTTGATTACAACAGGAGTGATGGAGGCTAGACAGCTGGAAGGATTTTCCTTATGGAAAGGGGGTGGAAAAGCCCCAGAAAGCAGGCCTGGTGGAAAGCTTGCACATTGCAGACCTGCAGTTGCTCAGCAGGAGGTTTGGAGCTCAGCTCCCGGCTGGGTGAAGCTCTGGGAGTCTGTGTCAACACCTAGGGAAGATGAGCTTTGTGTTTACCTTTTAGGCTAAAAGGACTTAATGTCGGGGTGGGAAGGATCATTAACACATCAGTGACTCAGAGTCCAGAAGGAAACTGTTGTCCTTCCTTCTGTCACGAAGGAAACTGTCGTTGGCTAAGCCAAGCCGGAAAGTCTTTGATTACACCCACAAAGAGGGGCATTTTCCCCTGGACCCAACCCAGAGTTCTCTTCAGGGACTGATAGAGGAGAAAGAGATGAATTCAGACAACAGGGAAATAAATTAGAATTTATTAGGAGTCGGGTAAAAGGGTCCCCAACCTATAAGTTTTCTAGTTAGTCAGGCGTGTGAGCTGGCAACCAACCCCTGCCAGTTTCTGCAGTCCACGGGGTGGTCCCCAGGAGGTTGAATGAAAGAATCAGTGTCCCCGCCTCATCTGGTCCCGGCCTGCACACTGTGCCTAGTACCCTCATCCCTGCACATGTATGGCACTGACTACATAAGTTCTAGCCCAGAGGCACCCAGCAGTGCCTCAGTCTTTTTTTGTTGTTGTTTTTTGTTTTGAGACGGAGTCTCACTCTGTTGCTCACGCTGGAGTGCAGTTGCATGATCTCAGCTGACTGCAACCTCTGCCTCCCGGGTTCAAGTGATTCTCCTGCCTCAGTCTCCAGAGTAGCTGGGATTACAGGCGCCCACCACCACGCCCAGCTAATTTTTGTATTTTTACTAGAGACGGGGTTTCACCATATTGGCCAGACTGGTCTTGAACTCCTGACCTCAAGTGATCCACCTGCCTTGGCCTCCCAAAGTGCTGGGATTACAGGCATGTAAATGCACAAATCTTCATTATACATTTTGGACAAATGGATCCTTCTTCCATCCTGATATAGAACATTTCTGTCTGTCCAGAAAAATCTCCCACATCCAGAGGCAGCCATTGTTCTAATGTTTTTGTATCTTAGATTGTTTTAAAACTTCTTATCAGCTGGGTGTGGTGGCTCACGCCTGTAATCCCAGCACTTTGAGAGGCTGAGGCGGGCGGATCATGAGGTCAGGAGTTCGAGACCAGCCTGACCAACATGGTGAAACCCCATTTCTACTCAAAATACAAAAATTAGTTGGGCGTGGTGGTAGGCGCCTGTAATCCCAGCTACTCTGGAGGCTGAGGCAGGAGAATCGCTTGAACCCTGTAGGCGAAGGTTTTGGTGAGCCGAGGTCGCACCACTACACTCTAACCTGGGTGACAGAGTGAGGCTCTGTCTTAAAATAAATAAATAAAATAAAATAAAATAAAATTTCTTATCAGCCGGGTGTGGTGGCTCACGCCTGTAATTCCAGCACTTTCGGAGGCCAAGGCGGGTGAATTCCGAGGTGAGGAATTCGAGACCAGCTGGACCAACATGGTGAAACCGAGTCTCTACTAAAAATACAAAAAATTAGTCGAGCGTGGTATTGGGAGCCTGTAATCCCAGCTACTTGGGAGGCTGAGACTGGAGAATTGCTTGAACCCGGGAGGTGGAGGTTGTAGTGAGCCGAGATTGCACCACTGCACTCCACCCTGGGCAACAGTGCGAGACTCTGTCTCAATTGAAAAAAAAAAAAAAAGTTCTCATCAATGGAATCCCGTTGAAGCATTTTAAGCATTTTTTGGTGTCTGGCTTCTTTCACTTAGATCTTGCTTTTGAGGTGCTTCCTTGTTGTTGCATGTGTCCATGTTTTGTTCCCCTTTATTATTGGGTCGTATTCCACCGCGGGGATGTACCACAGCTTGTTGATGGACACTTGGGCTGCTTTCCGACTTTGGCGGTTTGTTTTGTTTTGTTTTGTTTTTGAGATGGAATCTCACTCTGTCACTCAGGCTGGACTGCAGTGGTGCAATCTCGGCTCACTGCAACCTCCGCCTCCCAGGTTCAAGTGATTCTCCTGCCTTAGCCTCCCGAGTAGCTGGGATTACAGGCATGAGCCACCATGCCTGGCCAACTTTGGCTATTTTGAATAAAATGGTGATGAACATTGTCATGCAAGTCTTTGTGTAGAGCATGCATGTTCACTGAATCCTTGCAGTAGCTAATAGGTTGGCACTGTTGTTATTCCCATTTTACAGATGAAGACACTGAGGCACAGAGGGGGTGAATTCCTAGTCCAAGGCCGCATGCATAGTAAAAGCTGGGGGTAGGATTCTAACCCAGGTTCGTCTGACTGCAGCATATGTATTTTTATTCCCTCACTGTAGTGTCTTTGCACCACAGCTGTTTGGGGCCATTAAGCCTAGGGACAAGTGGGCATCTCCTCTCAATGGCCTGTCAATTCCTAACTGCATTTTAGCTCACAATAGTAGTTGATAATAATGGTAGTGTTGATAATAATGGATTTGAGTCACCACAAAAAGATTCCATCAAACCTGCCTTTATTTTTATCTGTTTATTTTTGAGACGGAGTCTTGCTCTGTCGCCCAGGTTGGAGTGCAGTGGCGCGATCTCGGCTCACTGCAACCTCCACCTCCCTGGTTCACGCGATTCTCCTGCCTCAGCCTCCCGAGTAGCTGGGATTACAGGCGCCCGCCACGTTGCCTGGCTAATTTTTGTATTTTGAGTAGAGACGGGGTTTCACCATGTTGGCCAGACTGGTCTCGAACTCCTGACCTCGTGATCCACCCGCCTCAGCCTCCCAAAGTGCTGGGATTGCAGGTGTGAGCCACCGCGCCCGGCATCAAACCTGTCTTTAAAGGACAACAGCATTTGGAGGCGTTTGAGAGAAATCTCTAGCTAGGGTCATTACAGTAACTAACAGCAAGCAAGGAAGCAAACAAAAAGTCTTGCTACCCAAAGCCCTAGTCGCCTGGAAATCTCACATAGTTGTAATTCGTCATCTCCCAGAGAAGCCAGGCACAGAAGGCGTTACTGGATATATAAAATAGTATATAAATAATACATGTATAAGAAACCACTCTGTTCTCTGTAGAGCCAAACAGAATAGGGTTTTGGAGAGTCTGCTGGTTCTCGCTTTGAAAGATGTTGCTAAGCAATGTTGCTAATATTATGGAAAGACAGCTTCCCTCCCGGCTTTTCCACTCAGCCTCAGAAACTCTGGAAGAGGTGGAAGTGGCTTCAGGAGTAGCAGCAGCTGGGGAGGTTTGGTAATCAGTGAGGCGGGGGCCGGGGGACCTTGGGTTGGAGAGGGACTGTGCTGTAGGCCACCCAGCCCTCAGCCTCATCCGCTCCTGATTCTCTGTACTGACTCCTGGGCGGCCTCTATGCAAAATAACACCTCTTCCTGTTCGTCAGAAATTTCACACACAGAAGGATCCTTTTGAATTTTTTCACTGTGGGAAAAATTACTGTAGTCATGCAGCTTAGCAAAAATTCAAAAATCCATAAATGAACTTCAAAAAAGGAAGTATTTTAAATAACTTCAGTAACCCAAGTGATATATGAAGAACTTCTTTATTCCTCCCTCTACCCACTCTCCATAATCCCTGAACAGGAAGTCGGCAGGGTTCTGATTGACATCACGTACTGCAGGCCCCACCTTCATGGCTCTGGGTACCAGAGCGCAGGGTGCCCGCCACTGAGTGGGATCTGTGGGTTTCCTCAGCGTGGTTTCCTTTCCTTGGAGCTTGGAAATGCCACACAAGTCACAGAGATCCGTTTCCAAAACCTGAGCCAGTTTAGATCCTCTGCTTAATATGACGTCTGTGGCCCCAGGAAAGTTGGGCTGAGCTGAGGTTTCCCAGGCTTGTCTTTGAGGCCTCCGAGTCCTGGCCTGCGTTTATCACGGAACGACCCTATTGTGGTGGGATGGACCTCTTGGGGGCTGGTCATGGGTTCTGTGAGGGGATTTTAGAAGCTGGGAGGAGAGTCAGTATGTTGGCAGAGAGTTTTCCTGCATCTCTCTCTTTTCCTTCTTTTTTTTTTTTTAATTAGTTATTTATTTATGAGATAGAGTCTTGCTCTGTTCCCCAGGCTGGAGTGCAGTGGCACGATCTCAGCTCACTACAACCTCCGCCTCTGGGCTCCAGCAATTCTCCTTCCTCAGCCTCCCGAGTAACTGGTATTCCAAGCGCCCGCCACCACGCCTGGATGATTTTCGTATTTTTAGTAGAGACGGGGTTTCACCATGTTGGCCAGGCTGGTCTCGAACTCCTGGCCTCAAGTGATTCGCCTGCCACGGCCTTCCAAAGTGTTGGGATTACAGGCGTGAGCCACCGCACCCGGCCCAGCTCTCACTTTTCAAAAATAGAAACTGCTTCCCGACCTCAGATGACTTCAATCTTTCCCTTCCCCCGACGCCTTCCTGCCTCCCTCTTCCCCCTCCTCTGTCTTCCTCCTAAGGGGGCATCCCAGAGACGCAACTGTGCTGTGGCCCAGCAGGGGGCGCTGATGTACCTGCCAAGAGTGGAGGTGTCTTAGCACAGGTGTGAGCGTTCAGCTGTGTGCGAGCGGGCTTCAGAGTGATATCCCAGAGCAGGTGTGTGTATGTGTGTACCCTCAAAGGCAGAAGAGAGCGGGGGTGCTGGACCGTCCTGTCCAAGGCTCTGTTTATAACCCTTGCGTTGTCCCAAAGGTTGTGTGGTCCATGGAATAGCTGGGACCCTGCCCGTGGAGGGGAGGGGCAAGGCGTTTGAAGACATCTGGTTTTCATCAAAGGCCCCACCCTCCTTGCTCCATGGCCCCCCTCGCCCCCACCCACCCCCAATCCCAGCCCAGAACGGTGGCAGTCATTCTGCCCAGCAGTGGGGCGCTGGGAGTTGGTGGCTGGGTGGGGCGACGAGGTGGCGTCTGCTGCAGGCTGGCTCTCTGACGAGGGGCACGGGGATTGGGGCTGATTCCCGCTTTCTCATGGATATGTCTCCTGGAGCCGGTTCCCAGGCACAGAAGGCCCTTTTCTTCAGGGCCAGGCATGCGTGTCTGTCTGCCTCAACCCACTGGCCCCTCAGGAACGGGCTGTGCAGCTGTCTGCGCTCTGTTCATGATTAACTTCGCTGTCTCCCGCCCCAGGCCTGATTCCCACCCAGGCCCCCTCAGCCTTTGGAGTTCCCCTGGACTGGAAGAGAGACCTGGGCTGGCAGCTGCCGGGCACTTTGTTCTCTGGGACTGTGAGCTTTGGAGGCTGGAACAGGCCATGGAGGTCCTGAGAGCTGGGACGCCGTGGGGCATAAGTTGGGTGAGGTGAGACCTGCAGGAAGACCCCTTCTCTGCCGTCAGAGACTTCTGCCGTCCTCATTTCCTGCGGTCTGCATGTATCCAGCTTTCTCAGCCCACCCCAAAGTGCCTCATGAATGTGGCCTTGGAGCAGAGTAATGTGAAAATTCTTCCCTGTCCGTTCTCTTTCGAACTGTGATTTCTTCAAGAACAGTGCCTTGGTTTGGCGCAGGTGTGTCACTAACACCTAACACTGCCTGCTTTTTTTTTTTTTTTTTTTGAGATGGAGTCTCGCTCTGTTGCCCAGGCTGGAGTGCAGTGGTGTGATCTCGGTTCACTGCAACCTCTGCCTCCCGGGTTCATGCCATTCCCCTGCCTCAGCCTCCCGAGTAGCTGGGATTACAGGCACCCGCCACCACGCCCGGCTAATTTTTTGTATTTTTAGTAGAGACGGGGTTTCACCATGTTAGCCAGGATGGTCTCGATCTCCTGACCTCATGATCCGCCCGCCTCGGCCTCCCAAAGTGCTGGGATTACAGGCGTGAGCCACTGCGCCTGGCCCGCCTGCTTTTTTAAGGAAGGTACTTCAAGCTTAGAGCCTTTGTCAGGCAACAGTATTGAGGCAGAACTTAATAAATTTATGTTTGTTTTCATGGTAGGAAGGGCAAGTGATAATGGATTTTCATTTAGGGTTGCAATAACGTTTTCTTTTAAAATTAAGTAAAGGCAGCCGGGCGCTGTGGCTCATGCCTGTAATCCCAGCACTTTGGGAGGCCAAGATGGGCGGATCACGAGGTCAGGAGATCGAGACCATCCTGGCTAACACGGTGAAACCCCGTCTCTACTAAAAATACAAAAAAAACTAGCCGGGCATGGTGGCGGGCGCCTGTAATCCCAGCTACTCGGGAGGCTGAGGCAGGGGAATGGCATGAACCCGGTTGGCGGAAGTTGCAGTGAGCCAAGATCTTGCCACTGCACTCCAGCCTGAGGGATGGAGCAAGACTCCACCTCAAAAAAAAAAAAAAAAAAAAATTAAGTAAAGGCCAGGCGCGATGGCTCACACCTGTAATCCCAGAACTTGGGAGGCCAAGGCAGGCGGATCACCTGAGGTCAGGAGTTCGAGATCAGCCTGGCCAACATGGCGAAACCCCGTCTCTACTAAAAATACAAAATTAGCCCGATGTGGTGGCGAATGCCGGTAGTCCCAGCTACTCAGGAGGCTGAGCCAGGAGAATCGCTTGAACCCAGGAGGTGGAGGTTGCAGTGAGCCAAGACCGTGCCATTGCACTCCAGCCTGGGCGACGAGCAAAACAACGTCTCAAGAAAAAAAAAAAAAAAAGTGAAAAAGTAAGTTGATGTAATTAAAGCAAAATTATAAACAGC
The DNA here is from genome assembly GCF_000001405.40 of Homo sapiens. Classification (NCBI taxonomy): domain Eukaryota; kingdom Metazoa; phylum Chordata; class Mammalia; order Primates; family Hominidae; genus Homo; species Homo sapiens. The sequence goes on from NC_000017.11 coordinate 2,851,122, forward strand.
AGAGCAGCATGACACTAAGACAAAGAATTATGAAGGAGGTGGCGTGTGGCCCAATTGTGGGAAGCTTTGGCTGGGCTAACTGCACACACTGGCTGGAAATGGTCTTCTTTTGAGGTTTGGAGTGTGTTAACCCTGTTTGTTTCGGGCAGGGATGGTCTTCCATTTTTCTTTCTTGCCCTGGTCTCTTGCATAAAGCTGGACATACTGTACATGTTTAATAAATGCTGGTGGAATGGGTAAGCCTAGCATTGATGGTTGTTCCAGTCTCTGCTATTGATGGGTTTTCTTGTGCTTTGGGGTCCCCTCTGTGGGGTGTGGGTGTGATGGGCTGTGGGGGCTGGAGTGGGAGTTAAGAGGGGAAATTGCTGTTTATGCACCAAAGGTGGCGAGCTTGTAGGGCAGGGGCAGAAGGATGGGACCTCTCACTGCCAGGAAAATTCTACCTCTTAGAGACTCAGGAGTCAGGGGCTGAGAGGTTACGATTTTTTGGGGGACAGCCTTGTGTTTGCAGTGACACTGGGCTTGTAGAAGGACTTAGAGGGCTGGGAACCCCAGAATAAGAGAATGAATAATGGAACCTGCATGGTGGATTTTGTGCCTTCATCATCCCAATTCCCTGTTGTAGTTGTTTGGAGAGGTGGGGTCTCACTATGTTGCCCAGGCTGGTCTAGAACTCCTGGTCTCAACTCAAGTGATCCACCTGCCTGCCTCGGCCTTCCAAAGTGCTGGGATTACAGGTGTGAGCCACCCTGTTACCCACTGTGCACTTGACCTGAACTAGCTCCCACACTCTCACCTGCTGGGAAGGAGGATCAGGCCTTCCGTTGAGGTGCAGCCTTCTGTGTGTGGGTAAAATACACCCAACGCTAGGATAGACCTAAGCCAGCGCCCTCATCACCTTCCCTGCCATCTAACTGAAGCGGTCCATCAGCTAACCTGTGGGTCCTCGGGTGCTGTGTGCTATAGCGCGGTGGGAGAGAGGGGAAGAGAAGCTCTGGGTTGCATGCTGCTGGGAGCTCTTCCCTTTTCTCTACCAAGGACACTCATTTTATTCTTTTTCCAGACCAATTCTTAAGTCACTACTGGCATAGTACTTGCAGCCTGCCTAACCGCCAATCTCAGGAGTGGGGCCCGGGTCATTCAAATCTCTAGCTATAAAAAGATGTCCATGGCTATCTATATCTCTGATCCCCCACAACCCCGGCAGGGAGGGGGTGGGGGTGGGGGTGGGGGGCACAAGGCCAGTGGTAACGGCTGCTTCATAAATAGACCAGGTGCATTTAAGAACCACCCTGGGGCTTCCTCCCCTCCACCCCAACTCCAGTGCCAGCAGGAAGCTGTGGGCATTGGAGAGGCAGGGCTGAAGCCTCAGGCCCTCGAATTCGTTTGCAGTCCCTCTCCCCTCTCCACCCAGCATGGTCCCCTCCCTGCCTGGATTTTCTGTGTTTGCTTGAACACCAGACTATTAAAAACAAAACAAAAAACAAAACAACAACAAAAAACAAGGCAAATTGCCTCAGGGGGAACCTCTTCGGCCCCAAAGATGGACTAATTGGCTTGTTCTAATTCCTTTCAGCCCCCTGCCCACTTCCTTTTCCCTAGAGGGGCAAAGCTGTGAGTGATGCTTCGGAGGGGTGAGGCGGGAGGGGGCTGGGAGGCTGGGCAGCACCTGGAAGTGGATGAGGGCGATTGTGAGCGAGGCCCCGCGCCGATGGTAGGGACCAGGCCACAGCCCTTTCCCCAGGAGCCGGCGCGACCTTCCGACCTTCCGACCTTCCGCCCTTCCTTTCCGAAGGAGATGAGGCTCGCGCGCGGCTGGCAGGGGCGGGAGGGACCACGCGACGAGTGCGCAGCGGCCAGGCCCGGGTGGGCGCGGGGAGGGCGGAGTGGGGGGCGCCCGGCCCGCCAGGAGGAAGCGGGGTCGCCGTGAAGTTGGTTATTGAACCCATGTGGAGTCAAACTCCCAGGGCCGGGAGAGCCAGTGTTCGCGGGGAGCCGACCCCAGCCCACTCTGCATCCCAGCTCGGCGATCCTTGCGCCGACTCTGCGGGGAGGCGGGGGCAGAATTCCGCCTCGTTCCTCCCATCCGCAAGCTCCCACCCGGGGACCCGGGCCCGGGAGCTGCGAGCCGGGGCGGGCGCCGGGCTCAGGTGCCCCCTGTAAGCGCTGGGCGGCCGGGAGGGGACGGGGACCGCGCGCGGGCAGTTTCGTTTGGACGGAGGAGGACGCGCGTTTCCTCTTGGTGCCTGTTTTCTCTCCCTCTGTTTTAAAAGCAGTGACAGCATCGGGGAAGTATCCGGGGCCGGGCCGGGGAGGGCGGCAGCCGCCTCTGCCTGGGGAGGGAGCTCGGGGCCGCCGGCGGGAGTGCGGGCGGGGACCAGAAGGAGCGGGCGAGGGGAGGCAGGGCCGGGGCCGGGGAGGGCGCCTGGGAGCCGGGCAGGGGGGTCCCGGGAGCGCTGTCCGCCTCCTCCTGCGCTTCGCCCGCTCCCTGTGCCCCGCGTCCTCCACCATCCGGGCGGCCGAGGCCGGGGCGCGGGAGGCGGGGCCGGGGCGGGTCCCGGCGCGGGCGGCGCGTCTGAGCGGGAGCCGGGAGCCGCCGGCCCGGGCCGCGCCCCGAGCGAGCCTCGGAAATGCCCGCGCCGGGGGAGCGGACGGCGGCTGCCCCGCGGGCCCCGAGGAGACGCTGAAGGTCGCCGGGAGGGAGGGGAGAGCGCGCGGTCACCTGACCCCCGGGGCGCACCTAGGCGGGGCGGGGCCCATGCGAGGCGGAGGCCGGGGGCCGGGGCGCGGGCTCAGGGGCCGGGTGCGGAGCGCGCGGAGCCGGGGCTGCGGGGACGCGGGCGGGCGAGGTCGGGCACCGCGGGCGGCCTCGCCATGTCCCAGCCCGCGGGGAGGAGGCATTGCCGAAAGGCGGGGATCCGCGCCGCCGTGGTGCTCATCGGACTCCTGCACAAATCCCGGAGGCAGAATAAAGAGAAAAGGTAAACCCCTGCAGCGCCGGCCGCTTCCCTCCGCTCTCCTGCTGCATGCCAGTTTTCTTTGGGGTGGACTTTTCCGATGGGTGTTTGGTTCCGTGTTGGTTAGAAAAAAGCCTCCTCTCCAGGTACCGTCGTGCGAACCGAGTTCGGAGCTTCGCCCCGGACCCTGGCTGGTGCGAGGAGCCTGGGCAGGACCTTGGCGGAATCGGAGGGCCGCTGGGAGGGCGCATCGGGGTGGATCCCTGACGGAGGGACCCCAAGTCCGTCGCCCCCAGACCCTTTGCAGACCGCGACCCCGTTCCCCAAGCCTGCAGCCGCGGATGCCATTGATCCAGCCCAGGCGGCTCCATGCGCCGGTGTTGCCATTTGCTTCCTGCAACTTGGCTGAGCCCTCGAGGTGCCTGCCTGGCCGAGATCCGCTTGCTCTGCGCTCGGTGCCGGCAGGCGAGGAGCAAGTTTGGAGGTTGTTCGCTCCCCACCCACCCTCTCGCCCCACCGCCATAGGGTGACTTTGCCTCTTCGCCTTTCTGGCGTTTGTTCTTTCGTTTGCTCCTGGATATTGAAAATAGTTTTCTTTAGCTATTTCAGAGACATTTTGGACGACCTGTGTGGTGGGAGGTGTGGGGTTTGGAGTAGGCAAAGGAGGTTCTGAGGAAGCTTTCTAGGCTGCAACCGCAGCTGCAGGTCTGACATCCACCAGACCCCAAGGAGCTACCAGGCAGGTCGTTGGCACAAAGCCTCCCTGTTCTGCTAGGGTGCATGGCAGAGCCTCCAGCAATGGGGGGAGGGGAGTGCGGAAGCTGACTGCCCACAGAGATGTTGCCGGGATCAGGATTTGGGGTAGCTTCCAGTGACCCTGCTGGATCCTAGTTTCCAGAGGAGTTTTGGAATGGTTAATACCGCACCCTATAAGACACGGGCAGTGGAACCAGAGACACCTGGGGGTGACCAGCAGCCCCTGGATATGCCCACAGGTATGAACGTACCTGGGGTGGTGGTAGGCAGGGAATACGGGGGACTTTGAGAAGCTGGCATGGATTGCCCTTGTGGTGGGTTGTCCCCCATTCCTCTCGTCCCCCCTTCCTATAATGTGTGTAACAAGATGTTGCCCGCTGCACAGAATGAATTTCCCGTGAAAATGACATAAGGTGGTTCAGCATGAAATAACATTGAGTCACCTAGTGAGAAAGTTCTTCCCTTTTCAGTTCTCTGCGAATCCTTGTGATTTCTTTGAGGGGAAGTTTCAGGTGGATGCTAGTCTGCCTTTAACACATTTTAAACACTTGCTAATCTTCCTTTTGTAATTAAGAGAGAGCAGACCTCCGGCTCCCGGTCCTCTGAGTGGGGAACAGTTGCCTGGCTAGAACTTAGGTTGTTTTTGTTTTTGTTTCATTTATTTTTAGGATTCTCTCCTGGTTAATGGCCAGTGGTACTGATGTTTTTCCATTTGTGGTAGTGATATAAAACATCTCTTTAAACATATGAAGTCACAAGAATTAATCTATTTTATTTATTTATTTATTTATTTTTGAGGAGGAGTCTCACTCTGTTAGCCCAAGCTGGAGTACAGTGGCGCCATCTCGGCCCACTGCAACCTCCACCTCCTGGGCTCAAACAATTCTCGGGCCTCAGCCTCCGGAGTAGCTGGGACTACAAGTACCCACCACCACGCCCAGCTAATTTTTTGTATTTTAGTAGAGACGGGGGTTTCACCATGTTGCCCAGGGTGGTCTCAAACTCCTGAGCTCAGGCGATCCACCTGCCTCGGCCTCTCAAAGTGCTGGGATTACAGGCATGAGCCACCGTGCCCGGCTGAAGTGAATCTATTTAATAGAAATAGTAGTAATAATAATACAAGTGTTAACAAATATAGTGGAAATCCTGCAAGTGGTCTAGGAATGGCTGATGCCAGCGACATGTGTGTCTAGCAGAAGAAGCTGCCATGGGAACTCTGGAGTGCAATGTTCCAGGGCCTGAGTCCATCTTCCCCTGGACTTGGATTCCCTTCTGTTTTCTGCCCTTCAGCATTTTATCTGTAGAGTGGTGGTGAACAGGTCAACTCTGAGACAGCCTGGGCCTGCTTTGAGGGCTGGAATGGAAAATGGGCTTGATAGAAAGGCAGATGCGTGGGACCAATTCCTGATTCTGAGTATAGAATGGGTGGTGGTTGGGGGGTGGAGAGGAAAAGCCCCCTGCACAGAGAGCGAGAAGTTCTCTTCCTGGCTCATCTGTTGACTGTGGTGTGATGGTAGATTTCATCTCTGGGAACCTCGGTTTCTGCCTCACCACAAAGGGCTGTGAGGCTCAAGTCAGATCATGTGAGTGGAGACAGGACAGAAAGGTACAAAGTGCTGCATAAAGGTAACGGGGGTTTGATCGGAACTGTTCCCCCTCTTCTCTCCCTGAGCCTGTGCTCCTGGTGACCAAGGTCAGATGTCCGGTGGTGACAGCCCCACCAGTAGCAGTCAAGACCAGCCATGCATGGGCCAAGGGGGCAGCCAGGTGGGTTTGAGCCTGGGCAGAACTAGTCTGTGGGTGGTGGGGGCAGGTGCAGTGAGGCCCAGGGAAGGACCCGGATAGGGACAGGGAGGGATTGGCTGGGACCCGGGTACCCCAGGCCCATGGAGTCCTTTATTTCTTCCTGAGTGCACTGTGCTCTTAAGAGCCTGCAATGCAGGCAGACATTGGTGGCCTTCCTAGCCCCTGGCTTCATCCCGTTCTTCTGTCGCTCCAACCATCCTGGTGGCTTTGGCCATGGACTTAACCTACCCAAGGAGAAAGAGTGATTGATTTCATCATGGTGCTAAGTGACCTTTGCTTCCCTCTCTGTATCTGGAGTTTCTTTGTCTCTTTAAGCGTCTGAAATGAGTGCAGCAAGCACTATTGACCCTTGCTCTGCAGGTGCTGGTGGCCACGGGAGGCCTGGAGCAGGCTGCAGCTGCCAGCCTCTCTTAAGCATCCCCCATACTCCATGCTGGGCGTTACATTTGATGAGCTCTTCCTTCCACCACCTCTCATCACAAGGTGGGGTCAGGCTCAGGCCCCTTCTTCTCCTCCCAGAAGGCTTGATCCATCCATCGATCTTCCCAGCACCTGTAATTGACAGGCTTGTGCAGATAACACTGTTGGCTCTTAGCCTTAAGGGTTGAAATGGTTGTGTGTGGCTTGCAGGGACCACCCAGTGGTCTTTTTCATCCTCCTGCTCTCTCCAGGCCACTTGGAAATATTGCGTATTAGGGGACAGGGAGGTGTGCCAGCCAGGGTAGTCATGAGACAGATGTCCCATATAGTCCCAGAACTAGGAGACTCCCAGCTAGTCTTGGTAGTTCCCAAGAACTGTGCTCCAGGCTCCAACTTCAATTTCCGTTTTCGAGAAATGGGCGTGGTGATCATCATGTTGGACTTGACCGTGCTCTACGGGAGCTGTGGGGCAGCCTGGAGGTTATGCCTTTTTCTGCCCATCTTTCAGGGTTTCTGGCACATGGGATCCTGTAAAAGCAGTGGCGTGTCTGAGAGGGGATTGGGTTTGAGTATGGCTCCCAGGAGACACCTGGATGAAGCCTTCCTCAGAGACTGCGGTTTGGAAACCACTTTGATTTTCAGAGCCTGCTTCTTATGGATGTGGGTAGTGGGGAGCTTGGCTCCCTGAGGGGGAAAACAGGCAGCTTTGCTGGGAAGGACGGAGGCCGAGGAACACGATCAAAATATGTACGTTCTTGGCCGGGCGCGGCAGCTCACGCCTGTAATCCCAGCACTTTGGGAGGCCGAGGTGGGTGGACCACCTGAGGTCAGGAGTTGAAAACCACCCTGGCCAACATGGCAAAAACCCATCTCTACTAAAAATGCAAAAAGTAGCTGGGTGTGGTGGCGTGCACCTGTAATCCCAGCTATTCAGGAGGCTGAGGCAGGACAACTGCTTGAACCCGGGAGGCTGAGGTTGCAGTGAGCTGAGATTGTGCCACTGCACTCTAGCCTGGGCAACACAGCGAGACTCTGTCTCAAAAAAAAGGTACGTTCTGAAAGATGTGGATAAAGTCACTGTGGCCTTGGGTGTGACTTTCTGAACTGGAGAGAGGTCATTTAGCATAAATGAAAACAAGTCCACTTCTTATGGTGGGTAGTTATTTTGAGACAGCTCCCATCATGGAGTTTATGAGGAGGAAGATATGGATTCTCTCATCATTTAGCAAATTCTGGCAGGCTGTCAGGGGAGAGCTCGAATCTGATGAATGTGATCCCTTTGTTGTGGAGTATCATACCTGGTGGGTTATTCCTGGGTAGAAAAAGCCTATCGCAATTCTTGTTTAAAAAAATTTTGTTGTGAAAATTCTCAAGCATACACAAAAGTAGAGAGAATAGGGTAACATAATACCTACTTTCAGCCATTATCAACTTACGGCCCCAATCTTGTTTCATTTATGTACCAATGCACTCCTCCACAAGATTATTTTTTTGAAGTAAATCTCAGGTACTAGATCATTTCATTCTTAAATATTTCAATTTGTATCTTAAAGATAAGAATTCTTGGCCAGGCACGGTGGCTCACGCCTGTAATCTCAGCACGTTGGGAGGCCAAGGTGGGAGGATCACCACTGGAGCCCAGGAGTTCGAGACCAGCCTGGGCAATATAGTGAGACTCATCTCTACAAAAAAAATAAAAAAACATAGCTGAGCATGGTGGCATGTGCCTTTGGTCCCAGCTACTCGGGAGGCTGAGGCATGAGAGTTGCTTGAACCCAGAGGCAGAGGTTGCAGAGAGCTGAGATAGAGCCATTGCACTCCAGCCTGGGCAACAGGAAAAAAAAAGTTAAGAATTCTTAAAAAAACCCCCGTAACACTACCGTTATTATACCCTCTAAATTAACAGTGATTTCTTAATACCATATTTAGTCAGTATTTGAATTTCCCCAGTTGTCTCGTAAAAGTTTTCAAAAGTTTTTTTGAGTCAGAATTCAAACAATACTATGTGATGGGTGATGTGTCTCTTAATCTGTATTTTCCTCCAACTCTTTTTTTTTTTTTTTTTTTTGAGACAGAGTCTTGCTCTGTCACCCAGGCTGGAGTGCAGTGGCACGATCTCGGCTCACTGCAACCTCTGCCTCCTGGTTTCAAGCCATTCTCGGGCCTCAACCTCTCAAGTAGCTGGGATTACAGGCGCCTGTCACTACGGCCGGCTAATTTTTGTATTTTTAGTAGAGATGGGGTTTTACCATGTTGGCCAGGCTGGTCTCGAACTCCTGGCCTTAAGTGATCCACCTACCTTGGCCTCCCAAAGTGCTGGAATTATAGGATACATGAGCCACCCTGCTTGGCCCTTTCAACTCTTTTAAAAAAATTTTAATTTAATTTTTTTGGAGATGTGGTCTCACTCTGCCACCCAGGGTGGAGTGCAGTGGTATGATCTTGGCTTACTGCAACTTCCGCCTCCTGGGCTCGAGTGATTCTCCCACCTCAGCCTCCCAAGTAGCTGGGACTACAGGTGTCCGTCACAACACCCAGCTAATTTTTGTACTTTTTGTAGAGATGGGGTTTCGTCATGTTGCCCAGGCTGGTCTCGAACTCCTGGACTCAAGTGATCTGCCCACCTCGGCCTTCCAATGTGTTGGGATTATAGGTGTGAGCCGCTGTGCATGGCCCACCCAACTCTTTTTTTCTTACAATTTATTTATTGAAGAAACTGGACTGTTTGTCTTGTGGAGTTTCCCACAGTCAGGATTTTGTGGATGGCATCTCCTGGTGTTATTTAACATGTTCTGCTGTCCCCTGTGTTACCTGTAAGTTGGTATTTAGTTCTAGAGGCACCATCAGATTTGTTTTTTGTTGTTGATTGTTTGTTTTTTTTTTTTGGCAAGATCGTGCCATTAGTAATTGTGTAGTTGTCTCTTTTTGCGACGTTAGTCATTGTTGATTGATTTGTTTCTAGGGTGTGAACCTGGTATCGGGAGATTACCTGTGTCCTGCCATTGCAGGCAGCCCCATGAGCTGGCTGGACATGAGGACTGTGCCTGGGGTTTGTCCAGAATTCTGGCCTTGCAGTCCCAGAGTCCCAGAGCTGGAAGGGGCATGAGACAGGAGCCGATCCACTCCCTGGTCCCAGAACAGATGGCTGCTTGTTCTCTCCTTAGGAGGCAGCTGGGTCCTGCCCTTTCTGGAAGGGCCTGTCTCCTGTCCTCTTCTGTCTGATGTTTGAATGACACCCGGTGGGCTGTCGTTGCTTTAAAGAACAAACACCTCCCTTTAGCCAGCTTCCCACTATTCACTTCACCAAAGGTCTGAGGCCTTAGACCATTCGAGTTGAAGGGACAGAATGTGAGGTGCAAATGAGTTTAATTCCTCCTGAGCCACTATTTTAATCTCCTGCTTGGTCTCCTGGCTTCTAGTCTCCCTTATCCTCTCTCCTTATGGTGGCCAGAGTGGAGTTTAAAACATTCAAATAGAACCAGGTCTCTCTCCTGTGGAAAGCTCTCCATAGACTTTCCATTATACTTATTTATCTTTTTTTTTTTTTTTTTTTTTTTTTTTGAGACAGCATCTTGCTCTGTCACCCATTCTGGAGTGCAGTGGCGCGATCTCAGCTCACTGCAGCCTCCGCCTCCTGGGTTCAAGCGATTCTCCTGCCTCAGTCTCCCAAGTAGCTGGGATTACAGGCACGCACTACCGTGCCTGGGTAATTTTTTTGTATTTTCAGTAGAGATGGGGTTTCACCATGTTGGCCAGGCTGGTCTTGAACTCCTGGCCTCAAGTGATCCTCCTACCTCAGTCTCCCAAACTGTTGGAATTACAGGTGTGAGTCACCGCGCCTGGCCGACTTTCCGTTATACTTTAAATGAAATCCCAACTCCATAGTCCGGCCCACACCCCCTGCCTGCTTCTGTGACCTCACCTCCCAACTTGTCGTCCTTTCCTCCTGGTGATCACCATGATTCTGTTGCGGAGGCCTCCTTTCCACACTTGGAACATGGCAGGCTCGCCCCTGCCACAGGCCCTTTGCACCTGCTGTTTACAGTGAGCTCATTGGCTGGTGCTTCCTCATCCCCGGACTCTTCACTCACATGGCATCTCTTTCAAAAGGCCTCCCCTGACGATCCAATCTAAGCAGCTCCCTCCAGTCATTACTGCTTTACCCTGCTGTATTTCCTCCATGGTACTCCTCATTTACTGATCGTATCTAGTGTGTGCAATAAATAGTTGATTGGCTGTTTCCTCCCCTAGAATGGAAACTGTTTCAGAGCGGGAACTTTGCCTTCTTTACCTCTGGGTCTCCATTGCCCAGAATAGGAGATGCTCAGTAAATATTTGCTGAGTGAATGGATGGAAGCCCAAGAGGCCTCCTGGCTCCCCTAAGTAGAACGTGCCCATTGCCTGTTTCTCTGGGGTCTTTTTTTTTTTTTTTTGAGACAGAGTCTCGCCCAGGCTGGAGTGCAATGGCGTGATCTGGGTTCACTGCAACCTCTGCCTTCCAGGTTCAAGCGATTCTCCTACCTCAGCCTCCCAAGTAGCTGGGATTACTGGTACCCACCACCATGCCCAGCTAATTTTTGTATTTTTTTTGGGGGGGGGGACGGAGTCTCGCTCTGTCGCCCAGGCTGGAGTGCAGTGGCGCGATCACAGCTCGCTGCAAGCTCCGCCTCCCAGGTTCATGCCATTCTCCTGCCTCAGCCTGGGCCCTCCTCCCGTGCTGAGTAGCTGGGACTACAGGTGCCCGCCACCATGCCCGGCTAATTTTTTGTATTTTTAGTAGAGACGGGGTTTCACCATGTTGGCCAGGCTGCTCTCGAACTCCTGACCCCAGGTGATCCACCCACCTTGGCTTCCCAAAGTGCTGGGATTACAGACGTGAGCCTCCATGCCTGGCTCCCTGGGGCCCTTTTAATACTCAGCGCCCTTTCTTTTGTCTGAGATTGGGGACTGTCTCCCTTCTCTCTCCTTTCTTTCCTTCTGGAAGAGATTTTGTAGAGAATTGCAAATGATCACTTGCCCGTGTGTAGCTCTGTCATTATGCCTTGCCTCTGCATAGCTTTGGGACCCGTAGACGTGAGAGGGACCAGGCTCAGCCATGACCGTCCTGAAGCTGGGGCCAGGAGCCAGGGCTCTTCTTGACACTGCGTTCCTAAGTCTTGGGTCCTGGAACTGCCGCCTGATTGGCAGAGGCAGCCTCCCTTCATTTATGCCAAAGAGGGGCAGTGGGCGTCTGAATTAGTGGACAGTCGCCATTAGCCAATATATATATTTTTCTAAATGCAGTTTTATCTCTTTGGAGCTTGTGTGGTGCACAGATGGCTGCTTACCAGGATGTTGCCAAATAGAGGGCTTGTCAGGCCTGTTCGGTGAAATCAACGAAAAGCACTTCTGTTCAGACGGGGGCTGCTGAAGGGCCCAGGAAGTCTCTCAGTCATTTTAAGCAGATGAAGCACCCCCACGCCCCCCAACTCCCTGCCCCTCAACAAACTCAGTTTCTTTGCCTACTGAATCCATAAAAAGTAAGTGAGGTAGGCAAGATGATTTCAGGTGGACAAGTGCTTTTTATTTTAATAGCTACTTTAAGAAATGAATCCTGGCAAGTGATACTGGTTTTCCATGTATGATAGTTATATAACGTTAGAAAACCCGAATATGGGCTGTGCACAGTGGCTCACGCCTGTAATTCCAGCACTTTGGGAGGCCAAGGCGGGCGGATCACTCAAGGCTGGGAGTTCGAGACCAGCCTGGCCAACGTGGCGAAACCCCGTCTCTACTAAAAATAAAAAATTAGCTGGGCGTGGTGGCGTGCGCCTGTAATCTCAACTACTTGGGAGGCTGAGGCAGGAGAATTGCTTGAACTTGGGAGGCAGAGGTTGCAGTGAGCCGAGATTGCACCACTGAACTCCAGCCTGGGTGACAAAGCCAGACTCTGTCTCAAAAAAAAAAAAAAAAAAAAAAAAAGTAAAGTCAGGCCCATCACTTTAGGGATTCCACTAAGAGTGTCTGGGTGGTGCCCGGGGTACCCTTTATACCCATGGCAGAAGGAAGAACATGGCTGGTATTTCATAAGCTGAGATTTCTGAGTGCGGGGGTCCTGGTTGAACCCTGAAGAGGGTCTCGAAGAATCCAAGCTCATTTCTAGGGGTGAGTACACTTGATCAACCTTCCCTTCTCCTTCCAGGCAGACTAGTGGGAACCTGGAGCAGACGCTGTGTTTATTCAGTGCCCTTGGAGCAAGGGTGGATTGAAAAATTGTCACTTGCTTTTAAGCTTATCAGTTATGAACACTGTATTTCATGAAGGCTGGAGCTCCAGCCAAGTCCTTTCCAGAGTCCTCCAGGGCTGGGCAGCCTGGCTGGGAGCTGGGGACGCCTCTGGAGACATGTCGGCCCCATGTGTGTCCTGAGACAGCTGACCTTGCCTTATGGTTAGTCCATTTCTCCAAAGGCAGGAGTTGCGGGGGGCCTGTGGATGAGAGCCACCTCCTCCCTTCTTTCTCCCTCTTCTGCCTTTTTCTCTTTCTCTACTGTAAAGATCTTTATCAGTCACACTGAATGCTGTGTGGCAGGATCAGGGCACTGTGATGATACCTGTTGTCAAGAGGGCTTACTCTGGAGGGTAAAGCAACTTGTAAGAACCCCATAAGGGAGGCATCTCTCTTGTCTTTGGTTGATGGATGGGGCTGAGTTAAGAGTCTAGTAAGAGTGGAGGTAGGGCCGGGCACGGTGGCTCACACCAGTAATCCCAGCGCCTTGGGAGGCCAAGGCAGGCGGATCACCTGAGGTCGGGAGTTCGAGACCAGCCAACATGGTGAAACTCCGTCTCTACTAAAAATACAAAAATTAGCCAGGCGTGGTGGTGGGTGCCTGTAATCCCAGCTACTCAGGAAGCTGAGACAGGAGAATCGCTTGAACCCGGGAGGCGGAGGTTGCAGTGAGCCGAGATCGCGCCACTGCACTCCATCCTGGGCCACAAGAGTGAAACTCTGTCCCCCTCAAAAAAAAAAAACAGTGGCGGCGGGAGCCCCCGGTTCCTCACCGTCTTGTCCCGTACGTAGCAGCATGCCATCCTGACTGCGGAGAGTGCAGACAGCAGCAGCCCTGCCACCTAGGAGCTTGCAGTCTGAGGCGGAGGTGGGGAGTGGGCCCCTGCAGACTCCTCATATGGTTAGGAAGCCTGTCCTCTGGACCAGACACAGTCCTAGGTGCTGAGGACGCAGCAGTGGGCAGCAGAGAAGCAAAGCCCTGTCTGGCTGGAGCGTCCATGCCTGATGGGTGTTATTCTGCCCACATACTTTGTTTTTTCCTTTGGAGCTGATATTTTAGAATTGGAAGATTCCACATTGTGAATCTGTTTTTCAGTCTTGAGAAATCAGAAGCTCTGGGAACACTGGCTGGACTGGCCTTCCCTCATTACACCTCAACTTCTAGCTACCTGATCAGTACAGGGCTGGTAGCCTCCTGCTCACTGCAGCCCACCTACACCTGGCCACACCTTTGCTACCTGCCCCTTCCCTGAAGGACGGGACGTACGGTGTGGGGAGCAGGAGGCTGGGGGTTGGGAGCTCTGGGTGTAACCCTGTGAACACAGAGGCTGGGGGTTGCATCCCAGTCCTGTGCGTCCTTTGGGACTTCTTGGTCTTGGCAGATCCATTGCGATGAGAAAGGAGGGGTCCCGGCAGCCTAGCGGGGCGCCCTGTGGGAGCTGGGCTGCAGAATGGCCACTGTGGATTTGCCTTCAAGTATTCCTCCTCCCTCCCCCTCCTGAATTACCTCCAAACAAAATGACAGAAGTTATGGGAGGCTGCGCGTCGCAGTACAGAAACTCAGGAATAACGTGAGAAGGGACAGAGACAGAAACACTCGTGGATCCCCGCTCTGGGCCTGCACCTGCCTGGTACTTATGCTTCACTTACCTCATTTCATTCTCTGCATGACACTGATGATCATTATCTTCATTCTTCATAGAGGAGAAAGCTGAGGTTCAAAAGGGATGGCGTCTCCAATGTCACCTAGCTCGTATAACAGAGCTGGGATTCCAATCTGTCTGGTGCCAAATTCTATGCTTTTTCTCCCACCACCAATTATATGGTGACCCTGGCTGAGGTACTTAACACCCCCGTGCTACAGTCCAATGAAGTAGATTGAAGTGCAGCTCAGAGAGACCAGGTGTCCTGGTCAAGACTCCAAAACTCTGTTTTGGGTCTCCTGTTAAGGAGTTAAGAACTCTGGCACCCTAGAACATTCTGGTTGTTTTTAAAGGAAGGGATCAGATGGGTCTCTGGAACAGCTGGGCTTCTTTTGAATGCTTAGCCTGAGCTAAGGGGAGGGTGGAGCCTAGAGCAGGGAAAGGTCTGTCCTGTCAGGTGTCAGATAAGCTGAAAGGTCTCCTGGCTGCTGGCCTCACTAATGAGAACAGAAATTCTCACTTCTCGATATGAACTGGAAGGTCCCGGCTGCAGCCTGGGTTACCTGTGCCATCTGTATTTTAATAGAACGTCTATTTTAATAAGATCTTTGAGATGCACAGACAGAAACAGCATGTAAATCAATAGGTCACTGAAACAGGCCATCTGAAAACGAGATCTGCAAATGTGCCAGGAAGGGCTTTTGAGAGTGACAGCAATAAATGCCCCTTGTGGATGGCCAGAAGGTCCCCCAAGGGTATGGCCACATGGAGGCAGGACTCAGCCGTGGTGCAAGTGATGGGAACCGAGATGCCTGGCTTCCACATTGCAGCTCCTCTGACCCCCAGCCCCCTTCTAGAAAGGGCTGCCAGCCCTCTTGGTGGCATCTGCCCCTCTCTTTCCCCTCCATGAATGCAAATGCAAGCTGCAGTCCCTCCTTAAATGGATTGTGTCCCAAACGTTCATTCACTCATTCAGTTCACCTCCATCAATATGCGGGTGCCCTCCCTGCCTCCAGCAGCCCATGCTCCTGAAGCAGAGATCAACCATGGAATGTGAATCCAAGACAGAAGAGGGAGGTGTGGAGAAGAGGTGCAGGGAGCCCTGGAGGTCAGAAGAAAGGGGGACCGCCCAAGGAAGGCTGCCTGGAGTTGGTGGCATTTGAAGTGGGCCTCGGGGACTGGACAGGATGTCTGAAGGGAGAGATGGAGTGGGAAGCACATCCCCAAAGGAGACAGTGGAAGACAAGGGGCCAAGATAAAAAAACAGGGGCCCGCTCAGATCCCACCTTGGCTGTGGTGTGGATTCCCTGCTGGGGAACGTGGGAGATGAGGCTGTTAGGGCGGCCTGGGGCCATTTCGTGTTAGGTGTTGAATGCTGGGGAAAGAAGGGCAGGTCAGGCTGTGGGAGGCTTCCCTGCTCCCCGCCTCCCCTAGACTCAGGGCAGTTGGTACCCCAGTTAGAATACAAAAACAGAGTCAGTCAGTGTTATACATGAAACAATTCTGTAACATTTGTGTTATTGTGATTTTTATTAAATAGAGGTTTGGGGCCCAAGGGCCTTTGTGTTGGTGAGGCAGTAGATAATACCCCCAAATGTCCCTTCTGATTGGTAATTTATTTTATTTATTTATTTTATTTTATTATTTTTTGAGGCAGCATCTCCCTCTGTCGCCAGGCTGGAGTGCAGTGGTGCGATCTCGGCTCACTGCAGCCTCCGCCTCCCGGGTTCAAGCGATTCTCCTGTCTCAGCCTCCCGAGTAGCTGGGATTACAGGTGTCCGCCACCAGGTCCGGCTAATTTTTATGTTTTTAGTAGAGATGGGGTTTCACCACGTTGGCCGGGCTGGTCTCGAACTCCTGGCCTCAAGCGATCTGCCTGTCTTGGCCTCCCAAAGTGCTGGGATTACAGGTGTGAGCCACTGCACTCGGCCTATTTTATTTTTTATTTTAGAGATGGAGTCTCACTCTGTCACCCAGGCTGGAGTGCAGTGGTACAATCTCGGCTCACTGCAACCTCCACCTCTCAGGTTCGAATGATTCTTCTGCCTCATTCTCCCAAGTAGCTGGGATTACAGGTGCCCACTGTCATGTCTAGCTAATTTTTGTATTTGTAGTAGAGACGGGGTTTCACCATGTTGGCCAGGCTGGTCTCGAACTCCTGGTGTCGTGATTCCCCTCACCTTGGCCTCCCAAAGTGCTGGGATTACAGGTGTGAGCCACCGTGCCTGGCCTCTGATTGGTCATTTAGCTGATTTAGTCAAGAAACTTTTGGTTTGAAGTGGCAAGCCCCAATTCAAATTAATGTAAAGAAAAAATGAAGCTTTGGGGTTTAGGTAACTGGAAGGTTCAAGGGGGACGGATTCAGGCCTGGCTGGATCGAGAGCTCCAGTGGGGTCTTTGGACACTGGTTCTTTCACCCCGTCTCTAGGCTGTGCCTTCCTTTGGGTTGCCTTCGTCCTCAGGTACCTTATCCACGAAGATGGACGATGGCTGCCCTGGGCTGACCTTCTACCCACTTAGCAATACCAACAGGAAGAGCAAATCTGTTTCCCAATCATTTCAGCAGATGTCCCAGGGATGGCTCACCCTGGACAGAAAGTGAGTCACATACGCATCCCTGAACTTTGGCCAGAGGGGTGGGATACACTGATTCATGAAGTCTAGGTCTTACGCCCACCGCTGGTTCCCGGGATGCAGGGACTTGGCTGGGAGTATAGGAGGGATGGGTCACCTAAGGAAACCTGGCATGTTGCTCTCAGAAGCTCAGGGGATGGAAGCTGGGCAGTAAAAATGCCAACAGCTGTCCACTCTGCTGGCCCTAGTGGCTTAGTTGATGCTGATCTTGGCACGGTCTTGTCAACTTGGCTGGTGGCTGCAGCTGCTGGTACCCTCCCAGACGCAAGGAGGCTTCCTTCTGCCTTGGCTGGATGAGGTGTGCTTTCTTCTTCACGGATGCAGCTCGCGGGATCCCCAAGCCTTTGGTAGTAAACACACTTCCTGGGCTGTCTTTTCTCTGAGTCCATTCTGAACATCAAAGCATTCAGCCTGTGACCGCGCTGGACCTGGTCTGAGAGGACAGCCTGGCTTTGCTCGGGGTTGGCTCTCGGCTCTGGGATTGGATAATGTGTCCCCTTCCTGTTTTGCTTATGCTTTGTGGCACCCAGCTGCCCTCCACCCCAGCAGGTCCGGATTCCTTGAATACAGATTGCCCCTCCTTCCAGACGTCTGGCCAGTGGATGCTTTTGGTTACGAGGCCCTGGCTGAGAGAAGGGCTGGCTCTCTGCTATCCATCCCCCTGGTGGAGGGCCAGGCCCAGAGGAAGTCTCAGAGGTCTTAGAGATAGGCACCTCTAGATGGCAAAAACACGACTGCAGAAGGGCAGAGGAGCGGCCTCAGGAAAAACCCAGGGGGATATATGATCTTGAACGTACATGGTGTCGAAACTGCGGCCCTTGGCTTTCCCATGTGTGAAATGCGACTAAGACTAATGAAAGTCTTTTATGTGTGTAGGCAAAAATCTTATTTAGCAATTCCTCTACCAGGTGCAATTTTTTTTTTTTTTTTTTTGAGATGGAGTCTTGCTCTGTCACCCAGGCTGGAGTGCAGTGGCACGATCTCAGCTCAGTGCAAGCTCCACCTCCCAGGTTCAAGCTATTCTCTTGCCTCAGCCTCTCGAGTAGCTGGGATTACAGGCATGTGCCACTACGCCTGTCTAATTTCTGTATTTTTTAGTAGAGACAGGGTCTCACCATGTTGGCCAGGCTGGTCTCGAACTCCTGACCTCAGGTGATCTGCCTGCCTTGGCCTCCCAAAATTCTGGGATTACAGGTGTGAGCCACTGTGCCCGGCCAGAACAGATAGTGTTTAATTCCACTTTGTCTGTGTCTGTTTGAGCTGCTATCACAAAATACCATAGACTGAGTGGCTTAAACCAACATTTACTTCTCCCACTTCTGGAAGCTGGAAAGTCCAAGTTCAGGGTACTGGCAGATGGGGTGTCTCATGAGGGCTCAAATCCTGCATCACAGACAACCGTCTTCTCGCCATGTTCTCACATAGCGAAGGGGCAAGGGAGCTCTCAGGGGCCTCTTTTCCAAGGCACTGATTCCATTCATGAGGGCTTCACTCCTCCTGACCCAATCACCTCCCAAAGGCCCCTCTTCCTCATACCACGGCAGTGTTAGTTAGGATTTCAACACAGAAATTTTAAGGGGTGCACAAATATAGTCTATAGTCTATCTACTCTTATAGTGTATAGTATGCTTATATGAGGCACCTAGAATAGGCAAATTCCTAGGGGCAGAAAGTAGAATAGAGGTTGCCAGGTGTTGGAGGGAAAGAGAATTTTTGTTGAATGTGTACAAAGTTCCTGTTCGGGATGATGATAAAGTTCTGGAAATGGACAATGGGGTTAGTTGTACAACGATGTAAATGCCACTGAATTGCAAACTTAAAAAGGGGTAAAATGATGAAAAAAAAAAAACCTAAACAAACTTTATGCAAAACCTTAATATGTACAATAGAAAAAGCGTTCCTCTGGTTGAAGATGGGGTGGGCTGGCTGGTGGTTCTCGCCTGGTCTCTGTGAATGCTCAGCTGAGTTGGGAACCAAAGTGCCTTGGGGACTCCAGGGAAGCAGCAGCCCTCCCTTCCCCAACAGCCCACGTTCTGAAGTTGAAGGTCCCTCAGGGCTCTGTCCTGCCCAAGCTCACACCCCCACTGAGGGTCACGTGTTGCTGGGGAAGGTCAGGTCCCGGGAGCAGGTGCGGGCAGCGCTGGGCCACCTTCTGCGAGCTCCCTTCTCATCCTGACATTTCCCTTTCCTGCAGTCTTGGGCTCATGGCCAGCCGTCAGCCAGCACCCTGTGGCGCTCTCCTAGGAGGCTGATCTGGTGAGCGGGGACGTATAGGGGGTCAGCAAGTGGCCCAGGTGGAACGTGGCTCCGGGCCACGTGAGTGGAGGGCTTGAGTTTTGTGACCACAATGTGGATGCCCTCTGTGACCTGCTGGCCTGCTTTGAGATGGGCAGCAGCTACTCCAGGGTGCGTTGACCTGCAGAGCAGGCCTCAGGGGTGGGAATCTGTATGGCCCCTGACCCCGGCATGGCCTCAGAACCTTCCTCAGAGTGCACTCTGTGCTGCTGCTTGACAATCTTTTTTTTTTTTTTTGGAGATGGAGTCTCGCACTGTCACCCGGGCTGGAATGCAATGGTGCAATCTCGGCTCACTGTAACCTCCCTCCCAAGTTCAAGTGATTCTCCTTGCCTTAGCCTCCCGAGTAGCTGGGATTACAGGCGCCCACCACCACACCTGGCTAATTTTTTTGTATTTTTAGTAAATACGGGGTTTTACTATGTTGGCCAGGCTGGTCTCAAACTCTTGACCTCGTGATCTGCCTGCCTCGTCCTCCCAAAGTGCTGGGATTACAGGCATGAGCCACCGTGCCCTGCCTGACAATCTGGTTTTTGAAAGAAATGTTTATTATATTTTAAAAATCCTTGTTCCTTGCAGAAAATTTGGAAAACACAGAAAAGCACAAGGATTAAAATAAAAATCACCTTCAGTCCCACAAGGGAGACTGTAGAGATATTAACGTTTAATATTTTTTTTGTGGTCTTTTTTTTCTATGCAAAAGCACACCCTTTCACGTAATATACTTACATCTGCATCTACGTCTGTTTCTCTGTATTGTAACAAAGGCGGGATTATACTTTAGGTACAGTACATTAGTCAAGACCCTTGGTGGCAAGTGACAGAGGCCCATCTTGAATTAGCCAAACAAAATAAGGGGGTTTATTGGCTGGGGTAACCCATCTGTGGAAAGGGTTGGGCCTCAGAAACAGCTGGATCCAGGGGCATTGGCAGAACTCCTCTCTGTCTCGTCACTGTGTCTCTTTGTGTTGGCTTCATTCTCTTGGGCCATCTGTCTCCATGATGTTGGATCCATGGTTGTAGATCCTTGTGGGCTAAACGTTTCATTTTATTTTATTATTACTATTATTCTTTTGAGACAGAGTTTCACTCTTGTCACCCAGGCTGGAGTGCAGTGGTGCGATCTTGGCTTACTGCAACCTCCGCCTCCTGGGTTCAAGTGATTCTCCTGCCTCTGCTTCCCAAGTAGCTGGAATTCCAGGCATGCGCCGCCACACCTGGCTAATTTTTGTATTTTTAATAGAGACGAGGTTTCACCATGTTGGCCAGGCTGGTCTTGAACTCCTGACCTCAGGTGATCCACCCACCTCGGCCTCCCACAGTGCTGGGATTACAGGCATGAGCCACTGCGCCCAGCCAAGGGCTAAACATTTTAATGGCTGAATTTCCCCCAGAGAGGAAGGAAAGCTCCTTTCCAACAGCTCTGGTTAGATACATTCCAGGGAGGAGTTCTGATTGGCCTGGATTGTGTGTCCATCTCAGTCCCTATGTGCAGGGGTGGGAGCGGGGAGCCATGATTGGCCCAGGGAGAGTCAGGGGCGCACTCTGGTCAGAGTGGTGTTGTGTTACAAGAGTCCTGTCCAGCGGGAGAGGGGCAGTTCCCTAAAGCAGAGGTGGGGAGCTTCATTACAGAGGAGGGAGAGGCAACAGCGGTAGGGCCAGCAAACACCATAGACAAAAGCTGCTTTGGAGTTGGTGCCAGCCACGGGGGTGCCAGCACGGCGTGTTGGGTGAGCACGTGGACCCTCACCTTCATGCTGATTTCATTGGGGTTCAATTGGTACCATCCCATGGGCAGTACAGTTTGGCAGTAGCTGTCTCCATTATCCATGCTATCCTCCTTGACCCAGTGAGCCACCTCTGGGGATCTGTCAGATGTGCATCTTTCCACACACGTGGAATGACGTAGAATGAGGTCATTCACGGCAATATTATTTGAAATAGCAAAACACTGGAAACAACCAAATCCCTATTCATAGTGAACTGGCTGCCTAAATTATTTCACATTCATACCATGGACTAACTACTTAAAATAGAATGATGAGGCCAGGCGTGGTGGCTCACGCCTGGAATCTCAGCGCTTTTGGAGGCTGAGGTGGGTGAATCACCTGAGGCCAGGAATTCGAGACCAGACTAGCCAACATGGTCTCTACTAAAAATACAAAAATTAGCTGGGTGTGGTGATGCACGCCTGTAATCCCAGCTACTCGGGAGGCTGAGGCAGGAGAATCGCTTGAACCCAGAAGGTGGAGGTTGCAGTAAGCTGAGATTGCACCATTGCACTCCAGCTTGGATGACAGAATGAGCCTCTGTCTCAAAAAAAAAAAAAAAAAAAAAGGTGAAGCTGTCTGTGTAACTGCATCAGCCTAAAATGAGTGACAGAAAGACGAGTTCTCCAAAACAAAGAGTTTCTTTGGGAATAGCAAGGGGTTGCAATCTGAGGTGTCCATGCTCTGATGGACCATAGGCACATCCGAGGGGAGTGGGACAAGGGGAAGCTTTTAGAGGAAAAAGAAGGTCATATAAGCTGCTTTGAAACAAAGACCGTTGGTTACAGAGGCTTATCTCAGGAGGGGGCTTTTGTTCTTGGTGGTATTGGCTGCTGCTAGGAGAGGGTCTTCACAGAAGTGGCTTAACTGGAAAGTTCCAGCAGGGACAGCCCTTCCCGGCAGTTTCTGTTACCCGCAGTCATGCGCGAGGGCCTTTTCTTCATGGCTTCCTTTTGTTAGGGTTTGATGTAAGCCACTCCGTTTTTGATACTGACAACTTTCACACTTGATGGAAAGTTCTCCCTAGATTTTTTTTTTTACAAAGACAAAGTTTTGTTCTGTCACCCAGGCTAGAGTGCAGTGGTGTGAACACTGCAGCTTTGACCTCCTGGGCTCAAGGGATCCTCCTGCCTCAGCCTCCTCACAGGTGCACACTACCATGCCTGGCAAAGTTTTTGTAGAGACTGGATCCCACTTTGTTGCCCAGGCCTGGTCTCAAACTCTTGGGCTCAAGCGATCCTCCAACCTCAGCCTCCCAAAAGTGGGACTCTAGTAAAAATACAAAAATTAGCTGGGTGCGGTGGTGGGTGTCTGTAATCCCAGCTGCTTGGGAGGCTGAGGCATGAGAATCGCTTGAACCCGAGGGGCGGAGGTTGCAGTGAGCTGAGATTGCGCCACCGCACTCCAGCCTAGGGGACAGACTGAGACTTTGTCTGAAAAAAAAAAAAACGGAAAATAGTACTTCATCTTTGTGTTGTGTTGGCTTGTATTTGCATAAAGAAGCTGCAGTAGGCTGGGTGCAGTGGCTCATGTCTGTAATCCCAGCACTTTGGGAGGCTGAGGTGGGCAGATTGCTTGAGCTCAGGAGTTCGAGACCAGCCTGGGCAACATGGTGAAACCCTATCTCTACCAAAAATACAAAAAAAAAAAAAAAAAAAATTAGCCGGTTGGGGCGGGGCATGCCTGTGGTTCCAGCTACTTGGGAGGCTGAGGTGGGAGGATCGCCTGAGCCCAGGAGGCGGAGGTTGCAATGAGCTGAGATTTTGCCACTGCACTCCAGCCAGG
This sequence comes from Homo sapiens, assembly GCF_000001405.40. Classification (NCBI taxonomy): domain Eukaryota; kingdom Metazoa; phylum Chordata; class Mammalia; order Primates; family Hominidae; genus Homo; species Homo sapiens. The sequence continues at coordinate 2,873,452 of NC_000017.11, forward strand.
GTAATAGAATGAGACCCTGTCTCAAAAAAAAAAAAAAAAAAAAAAAAAAAAAAAAAAAAAGCAGCAGCAGCTGCAGAAAGGTGTGTAAAGATCATTTCACAGGCTGAATAAGTGGACAGATTGGGACAAGGATAAGACAAAATAGGCCTTCTAATAATTTTGGCGTTTGAGCCCTGCTAATGTATTCCTCATTCAAAACTCAACAGACCAGTTTCCTTTTGGGGTGATGAAAAAGTTATGGAATTAGTGGTGGTGGTTACATAACATCGTGAATGTACTTAATGCTACTGAATTGTATACTTTATTATTTATTTATTTATTTATTTTTGAGATGGAGTTCCAGTCTTGTTGCTCAGGCTGGAGTGCAGTGGCGCGATCTCAGCTCACTGCAACCTCCGCCTCCTGGGTACAAGTGATTCTCCTGCCTCAGCCTCCCGAGTAGCTGGGATTACAGGCATGCGCCACCACGCCTGGCTAATTCTGTATTTTTGGTAGAGACGCGGTGGGGGGGGGCGGGTTTCACCATGTTGGCCAGGCTGGTCTTGAACTCCCGACCTCAGGTGATCCACCCGTCTCAGCCTCCCAAAGTGCTGGGATTACAGGCATGAGCCACTGCACCTGGCCTGGCTTTCTCATTTTCTAGCTCTCTGACTGTGGACAAGTTACCTGATTTCTCAAAGAATCAGTTTCTCATTTGTAAAGTGTGGATAATAAAAGAGTCTGTATTCTGCAGATTAAATAAGAGGCATAAGATTGAGCTCTGTGCCTGGGGAACAATGGGTACACCCTCCCTCCCCTTTCTCCCCTCTGCCAACTGGACATTTGCATTTAAATGGGGACTCTTGAAGACTAAAAACACTCTAAACTCCAAGGGAGGAATGGTTGGAATTTCAGAAAAATTCATAGCTCTTATCTAGGGTAAGGTCTGGGTCTTTTCCTGTGGAGAGTTAAGCTTTTAGGTCCTCCTCACCTGAGGCCCCGGGCTGACGGAGGCATTGGAAGCTTGTAAAAGTCAGGGCTGAGATGACCTATCTACAAAGAGCATTTCTGGCACCCTCATTTCAAGCAGGTATTCAGTGTATGTGCATAAGAATGACGTGGAGAGGAAAGGAGAAAGAGGTGGAAAAGGGGGAGGGAGAAAGGACCCGATCAAGGTCAACAGCCTGAACCAGTCAGAGGCCTCAGCCTGGGGCTGGATTCTGGAGGAAATGAGACGGTAGGTGCTACATCACCCATGGAAACAAAGGAGCAGCCACCCAGCCAGGAAAAGCCCCAAACCCTTGAAACCCCACGTTTAGCTTGCGAGCTCTCTGCTCTCCTGTATAGCAGAAGTTCTTGAAGTTCTGCCTCTGCTTCTCACCAATGCCCAGCAGCCACTCTGGTTCTGGACCCGGTGGTCACCCTCTGCCCTCAGTTTGGCATCCCTCACACAGCCTCATACTCGCTTCTCAAAAGGCTGTCTCCATTTTGCTCATGACTGTCGACCTAGAGAAAGAAACAGAGAGAAAATTAATATAGAGAGTTTGCTCGGGCCAAAGTTGAGGACAGCTGCCAGGGACGCTTCAAAATTACCTTGGGGACGGCGCCCTTCGACATTTGTTAAAAGCAAGTTTTTGTTTTGTTTTGTTTCTTGAGATGTAGCCTTGCTCTTGACGCCCAGGCTAGAGTGCAATGGTGCGATCTCGGCTCACTGCAACCCCTGCCTCCCGGGTTCAAGCAATTCTCCTGCCTCAGTCTCCGGAGTAGCTGAGATTACAGGCGTGCACCACCACGCCTGGTGAATTTTTGTGTTTTTAGTAGAGATGGGATCTTGCCATGTTGGCCAGGCTGGTCTCGAACTCCTGACCTCAGGTGGTCTGCCTGCCTCGGCCTCCCAAAGTGCTGGGATTACAGGCATGAGCCACTGCACCCGGCCACAAGCAGGTTTGTAAAGGCAAAGGGGACAGGGAGTGGGGTGATATGAAGTTGTTGGATGGGCATTCTAACTGGTTACAGGGGTAACATTGGCTGTGCGTTGTTGAGCTCTAGGGTCTGAGTGATGGCGTCCAGTGTATGGCTATGTGGCATCAGTTAGTTTAGGGCTCATGTAGCAAGTGGCTTCAAGAAGTGATTACTTAGCTCATGGAGCGGGTGAGAGGGACCGCTGTTGCTTTTCAGTGCCTCTCTGGGCCTGACCGTGACAGGAGGATTGCATTTCTCAGATTCAACATTGCCTTTTTTTCTCACGACAGTGAATGTCTTGTCCTCCTGGTTTCCCTCCGTCTCGCCGCCTGTCTGTCTCATCCTCCTCCTCTGCTGGCCTTCCACCTGCTGTCGTGCCTGGGCCCCTTCCTCTTCTCTGTCTCCCTTGGTGATCTCCGCTTGGACATCCGATAGTTCTTCCAAGCTGAACGTGTCCCAACTCCAGGTCTTCATTCTTGCCCCGCCAAAGTCATCCTTCCTGTAGCCTTCCCCAGCTTGACTTCTCTGCATTGTTTTTTGTTTGTTTGTTTGTTTTTTTTTTTGAGATGGAATCTGGCTCTGTCGCCCAGGCTGGAGTGCAATGATGCGATCTCGGCTCACCACAATCTCCGCCCCCCGGGTTCACGCCATTCTCCTGCCTCAGCCTCCCGAGTGGCTGGGACTACAGGCACCCGCCCCCACGCCCGGCTAATTTTTTGTATTTTTAGTAGAGACGGGGTTTCACCGTGTTAGCCAGGATGGTCTTGATCTCCTGACCTTGTGAGCTGCCTGCCTCGGCCTCTCAAAGTGCTGGGATTACAGGCATGAGCCACCGCGCCTGGCTACATTGTTTTTATAGATGAAAAGAGTCCAACTCTGTAAAATATTCGAAGAGATTTATTCTGAGCCAAATAAGAGTGACCAATGTAGCCCCAGGAGATCCCGAGAACAAGTGCCCAAGGTGGTTGGGCTACAGGTGGTTTTATACATTTTAGGGAGACGTGAGACATCAGTCCATCCATGTAAGATGTCCATTGGTTTGGTCTGGAAGGTTAGGACAACCAGAATCGGGGGTTTTGGAGGGTCCATAGGTGGATTCAAAGATTTTCTGATTGGCAGTTCATTGAGTGAGTTTATCTAAAGACCTGGAATCCATAGAAAGGAATGTCAGGGTTAAGATAAGCAGCCGTGGAGACCAAGGTTTCATCATGCGGGTGACGCCTCCAGGTAGCAGGTTTCCGAGAGATGAGATAGCAAATGTTTCTTATAGACCTGGAGTCTGTTCTATGAGTCTTTAGGTCCCTGTGCTGATGTTGATGCTGGTCAGCTGGGGCTGAATTCCAAAGGCGAGGAGAGCATAAGGAGGCATGTCCGACCACCCCTTCCCATCATGGCCTGAACCAGTTTTTCTGGCTAACTTTGGAATGCCCTTGGCTGAGGGGAAGGGTCATCAGTTGGTTGGGGGCCTTAGAATGTTATTTTTGGTTTACGTTCTTTTTTTTTTTTTTTTTTCTTGAGACGGAGTTTTGCTCTGTTGCCAGGCTGGAGTGCAGTGGCGTGATCTTGGCTCACCGCAACCTCCACCTCCCGGGTTCAAGCGATTCTCCTGCCTCAGCCTCCCGAGTAGCTGGGACTACAGGCATGCGCTGCCACACCCAGCTAATTTTTGTATTTTTAGTAGAGACGGGGTTTCTCCATGTTGCTCAGGCTGGTCTCGAACTCCTGACCTCAGGTGATGCACCCGCCTCAGCCTCCCAAAGTGCTGGAATTACAGGCGTGAGCCACTGTGCCCAGCCTTGGTTTATGTTCTTATTCCCCATGTCCACTTGTCAGCATGCTCTGTTGCTGCCTCCATGATGCATCCAGAGACGGATCATATCTCCCATCTCCACCACGGTCTTTTGAGGCCAGTCCATCATCAGCTGTCACCTGGATTATTGAGGAACCTTTCAGCCAGCCTCCCTGCGGCCATGTTTTTCCCCTTACAGTCCGTCCTCCGTAAGGCAGCCAGAGTGATCCTGTGAAACTGTGGGACACATCACATCTCTGCTCTGCTCACAAATCTCCCTGCCTGGCCGGGTGTGGTGGCTCACACCTGTAATCCCAGCACTTTGGGAGGCCAAAGCGCGTGGATCACCTGAGGTCAGGAGTTCAAGACCAGCCTGGCCAACATGGTGAAACCCCATCTCTACTAAAAAAACACAAAAAATTAACTGGGTATGGTGGCGGGCACCTGTAATCCCAGCTATTCAGGAGGCTGAGGCATGAGGATTGCTTGAACCTGGGAGGTGGAGGTTGCAGTGAACTGAGATTGCGCCACTGTACTTCAGCCTGGGTGACAGAGAATTAAATGAATGCCTGAAATTTGGTTTTAGTGAATGAATGCTTGAAATTTGGTTCTCATGGTGAGGGTGACAGGAAGCCATTTCAAGGCCTTAGATAGGGGGCTCATATGATCAGGTTGACATTTTGGAAGGTCCCTGTAGCTCCTGGGGGAGACAGTTTGGGAGTGGGACCAGAGTGGGATCCTGGAGATTGGCTGGGAAGGTGTCAGTGGCTTGGAGATGATGGTGGAGGGGGATTGGGGTGCATTGACTGAGCTGAGAGACGTGTAGGAGGCAGAGTGAAAGGCTTGTTGTTAGAGCTGTGCTTAATACACTTTCATGGACACACGCGTTACCTGGCATCCTCTGGAAATGCAGATGCGTAAAGGTGGGTCTGGGCTGGGTCCTGGAGTCTGCTTTTGGGTGACATTATGTTGCCGGCCGGGGACACACTTAGAGTAGCAAGGGGTTGGGTGTCAGGCATAAGGGAAGGGGAGTCAGGAACACATTGTGCCTTTAATTGCAAGAGAACCTAGGAGGAGGAGCAGGTTGGGGGAAACGATGAGGTCATTTAGGGACACATTGGGTTCGAGGTGCCTGTGAGACCCCCCCGGGGATGTGGCATCTGGAGCTCAGCCCAGGCTGGCGGTGGAAAATGAGGAGTCGTCCTTGGGTTGGTGGGTGCAGCCTTGGTGTGGGTGAGGCTGAGTGGGAGAGGGCATAGGGAGGGTGGTCAGAGCTGCGGAAGCCCCTGTCTGTATGCCGTATCGCTGACTCGAAAGGTGCATCACCTAGGCAAGGGCGTTGGTTAGGTGGTCTAACCACCACCCCTTCCGATCATGGCTTAGGTGGTCTAACCAACACCCTTGATTTAGGGCAGGGGTTTCTCTCGCTGGTTCCTGCTGGTTCATCAGCCTAACTAAGGAAGGGAGCAGGAGCCTCTCCCCTGAAGGAGGCGGCAGCCTGTGGGCCCATGAGGGAAGCCAGCCAACCCTGGCTCTCTGCTTCTGATGCACCTGTCCCAGTGGGCCTGTCCGGAAGCATTTGGGTATCCCTGCTGCCCAGGAGCCCCACGGTGGACTCAGGCAAACCTGGGCCCCAGAGCCCACTTAGCCACTTGGTAGCTGCGTGAGCACGCGCAAGGTGCTGCAGCTTGCTGGGCCCCGGTTTTCTCATCCGTGTGATGGGGTAATAATAGTGCCCTCTTCCCGTGACGGTTGTGACGATCAGTGAGATGGGGTGTGTGACATGCTGAGCCCGGAGGCCGGCGCTGGCCAGTGCTCAGTGAGGTTCTGTTATCTCTGGAGGGTGTGGCAAGGTCAGGATGGACACTGGCCTTGCCTCCTCCTTCCTGCCCTACCCACTGCATGCACCTGGCTTGGCCCCACCTCCAAGCCCTTCTTTTTTTTTTTTTTTGAGACAGAGTCTTGCTCTTGTCACTCAGGGTGGAGTGCAGTGGCGTGATCTCAGCTCACTGCAACCTCTGCCTCCCCGGTTCAAGTGATTTTCCTGCCTCGGCCTCCCAAGTATCTAGTTTTACAGGCACCCGCCACCATAACTGGCTAATTTTTGTAAACTTAGTAGAGCTGGGGTTTCACCATGTTGGCCAGGCTGGTTTCGAACTACTGACCTCAAGTGATCCACCCGCCTCGGCCTCCCCAAGTGTTGGGATTACAGGCGTGAGCCACTGCGCCCGGCCACAAAGCCCTTCTTACATTGAAAGTCCCTTGGCTGGGCGTGGCAGCTCATGCCTGTCATCGCAGCACTTTGAGAGGCCAAGGCGGGCAGATCACGAGATCAGGAGTTCAAGACCAGCCTGGCCAGCATGGTGAAACCCCGTCTCTACTAAAAATACAAAAAATAGCTGGGTATGGTGGTCGGCGCCTGTAATCCCAGCTACTCAGGAGGCTGAGACAGGAGAATTGTTTGAACCCGGGAGGCAGAGGTTGCAGTGAGCTGAGATCGCACCATGGCACTCCAGCCTGGGCGACAGGGCGAGACTCCATCTCAAAAAAAAAAAAAAGAAAGTCCCTGCTTCCTGTTGGGTCCTCCTCCTTGCCTTGAGCCCTCTCCCTCCATTCAGATCCATCCCCACTGATGTCTCCTGCTCGTCTCTTGTCCATTACTTTTTTCCTCCTGAGCCCTACTGTAATGCTTGGAGAGTTTGGGGGGCTGGTGAGGGCAGGATCATCTGCTGTCTGTTCATGTCTCCCAAGAGACCGCAGGGTCCTTCAGGCTGGGTGGGTGCTGAATATCCAATGGGGACCAGGTAGGCCTGATTCCTGCCCTCCTGGAGCTCACCGTCCAGCGGGAAGGACAGGCATCAGACTGATCGTGACAACTGAGGGGCTGGGAGCAGGGGGCTGGGAGCAGGGTGCCGTGGTGGCAGAGAGCACGGGGACTGATGGATGACATCGGAAGGGAGGGACATTCAGGCAGAGACCTGGAGGATGATTAGGATACAGGAAGACGAAGGCTTGGGGGGGATGGGAGTGTGGGTGAGAGAAGGGTCTAGACAGAGGGAGTAGTGTGAGTGGGAGGGCTCATCACAGGAACCCACAGGCTGTGTAGACCGGTTGGGGCAGGTGTGGAGAGGAAGTGAGAGGGGTGGGAGATGAGGCTGGGTGGGGCCGTTGGGACAAGGGGGTGCGGAGAGTTGGGTTTGAGCCACATGGTCATGGGAGCCATGGAAGGAGGACAGAATAATCCACCTCACATTTATTTTTCACCTTCTTCTTTTTTTTTTTTTTTTATTGTGGTAAAATACACATCACACACAGTGTCTCACTTGAATCATTTTAAAGTATACGGTTCCGTGGCATCAAGTCCTGTTCACAGTGTTTTGGGATCCTCACTACCATTCTCCAGACCATGTTCATCATCCAGATGGAAACTGTATCCATTAGCCGTCACTCCCACCCCCGCCTCCCCCATCCCGAAGCAACTACCATCTACTTTCTGTCTCTATGGATTTGCCTCTTCTGAGCATTTCATAATGCAGGTTGGGTGTGTCTTATCTGACATGCTTGGGACCAGATTTCATATTTTTTTTGGATTTTGCTGTATTTCCATTGTACTTAGTGGTTCAACATCCCTACTCTGAAAATTCAAAATCTGAAATGTGCCGAGGTCAGGCACGGTGGCTCACGCCTGGAATCCCAGCACTTTGGGAGGCCGAGGCGGGTGGATCATTTGAGGTCAGGAGTTCGAGACCAGCCTGTCCAACATGGTGAAGCCCCATCTCTACTAAAAATACAAAAATTAGCCATGTGTGGTGATACATGTCTGTAACCCAGCACTTTGGGAGGCCGAGGCAGGTGGCTCATTTGTGGTCAGGAGTTCAAGACCAGCCTGGCCAACATGGTGAAGCCCCATCTCTACTAAAAATGCAAAAATTAGCTGGGCATGGTGGTGCACGCCTGTAATCCCAGCTACTCGGGAGGCTGAGGCAGGAGGATTGCTTGAACCTGGGAGGCAGAGGCTGGAGTGAGCCGAGATCGTGCCACTGCACTCCAGCCTGGGGGACAGAGTGAGACTCTGCCTCAAAAAAAAAAAAAAGAAAAAATGTGCCAGTGAGCATTTCCTTTGAGCACCATGTTGGCACTGAAAAAGTTTAGGATTTGGGAGCATTTTGGATTTCAGCTTTTTGGATTTGGGATGCTCAGTGTGTAGATGGAATCACACAGTAGGTGGTGGTCTGTGTGTGGCTTCTTCCACTTAGCCAGCATTCATCCACATTGTAGCACGAATCCGTAACGGCACTTCATTCCTTTTCAGGGTTGAATAATGTTCCTTTGTGTTGGTGTGCCACGTTTTGTTTATCCACTCATTCGTTCATGGACATTTGTGTTTCTTTCACCTGTGATCATTGTGAATAGTGTTGCTATGAACACTTGTGTACATGTTTTTGTTTGGAAATGTTTTCTGGAGTGGAATTGCTGGGTCATATGGTAATTGTTTGTGTAACTTTTTGAGGAGCGTCCACACTTTTCAACAATGGGCTACAGTTTCTCTGCATTCTTGATAACGTTTATTGTTATCTGTTTTTTTGCTTTTTTCTTTTTTTCTCGATGATGGCCATCCTAGTGGGTGTGATCTGCTTTTTTTTATTTGTTTGTTTTTGAGACGGAGTCTCGCTATGTCGCCCAAGCTGGAGTGCAGTGGCGCAATCTCGGCTCACTGCAACCTCTGTCTCCCGGGTTCACGCCATTCTCCTGCCTCAGCCTCCCGAGTAGCTGGGACTACAGGTGCCTGCCACCACGCCTGGCTAATTTTTTGTATTTTTAGTAGAGGTGGGGTTTCACTGTGTTAGCCAGGATGGCCTCGATCTCCTGACCTCGTGATCCACTTGCCTCAGTTTCTCAAAGTGCTGGGATTACAGGCATGAGCCACTGTGCCTGGCCTTTTTTTTTTTTTTTTTTTAATTTTGAGATGTAGTCTCACTCTTTTGCCCAGGCTAGAGTGCAGTGGTGCGTTCTTGGCTCACTGCAGCCTCCACCTCCTGGGTTCAAGCAATTCTCCTGCCTCAGCCTCCTGAGTAGCTGGGATTACAGGTGTGCACCACCACGCCCAGCTAATTTTTTTTTTTTTTTGGCATAGAGTCTTACTCTTGTCCCCCAGGGTGGAGTGCAGTGGCACAATCTCAACTCACTGCAGCCTCCACCTCCCAGGTTCAAGTGATTCTCCTGCCTTGGCCTCCCAAGTAGCTGGGGTTACAGGCACGCGCCACCACGCCCGGCTAATTTTTGCATTTTTAGTAGAGACGGGGTTTCGCCACGTTGGCCAGGCTGGTCTCCATCTCTTGACGTCATGATCCACCCACCCTGGCCTCCCAAAGTGCTGGGATTACAGGCATGCGCCACCACGCCTGGCTAATTTTTGCATTTTTAGTAGAGATGGGGTTTCGCCACGTTGGCCAGGATGGTTGATTGGCTTTTCATTTCAGCATGGTCCCTGTGTCTCCTTCCTGGAGAATGGGTTGCTCAGTGCAGTGGCTGGAGATGGGCTGGGATGCGGGTGCCGTTGTCTAGGTGAGAGATCATGCTTCGGGGTGGAGTGATGGAACAGTTAGGGAGGTGGCGAGGACTTTGTGATACCATGGAGGCCACGGGTGAGGGAAGTAGGGACTCAAACGTGACTGATTCGTGTCATGTCCCCAGCGGCTAGCGCTATGCTGGCACACCGTCGGTGCTTTACAGATACTCGCGGAATGAATGTCAGATCCCCAAGAAGAAATGGGAACCTGGAAGTTCTTGGTGCTCTTTCTGAAGGCCCCTCCCCTGTGGGCCCCCTGATGGTCCTGGGCTTGGGCAGCCCCTCTTCTGAGGGAGGCTGCGGGGTTGTCTTGGTCGGGGTTATGTGAAGGTGGGGTGGGCAGCAGAGCAGCTTCCAGGGGCTACCTCCATCTTCTCTGTGTTCAAGCTCCACAGCCCCCAGGAGACCACGTGGGTGGTGCTGGGGAGCTGGAGAGGATGGTCTTTTGGGAGGGGCGCATTTGAGGGCTGCACTGTGAGCTCTGAGGGGGCAGCAAAGCCTTTCCTGAGCTCCCCAAGGCTGGTGTGAAAGCACTTTCTGTCTGCAGGTCGGTGTCCCAGCCCAGGGACGCTCCTCCATTCTTGGCATTTCTCTCGGGGTTCTGGGAGGGTCCAGAAAGGCCTCGCCCAGCCTTTGCGGTTCCCTTTCCTCTGGCTTCCACTCCACGTGCTGCCCTGCTCTCGGCACCTTCCCCAGCCGGGCAGCCTTTTAACGGATGGATTTTGGCCTTGATGGAGAGGGAAGCGCCTTCGATCTAAAAGCTTCCAAAAGCTTCTCTCTCCACCCTTCTGTCTTTCCTCTCTCTCTCCCTCATTTTCTCCTCTCCTGTTTTCTTTTTTTTTCCTCACCTGTGTTCTGTAAATCTGTAAAACAAACACACTTTAAAAATGTCACTTGTCTCTTCTATCTGCGGCCTAGAGTGGGGTAAAGCTGTTACCTCCCTTGGGAGTCGGCTTTTGAGCTCTGGGCATGAGTCAGCCCTGTTCCTGATGGCCGCAGGATGATTGGCAGAGAATCCCAGGGTGGCTGCCTCATGGCCTGGGGCCTCGCCAGCTGGGGCTTCAAGGCTGTGACCCAGATAGGGAGGTGGGTGACCCTTTCTGCCTATTCCCTGCTCACCTTCTGGTCCAGGGAGGGACCCAGAATGGACAGGCAGGGGCCTAGGACTTTAGCCAACCTTCGAGCAACAGCAAAAACTCTAGACAGGCCCCTGTGGTTACCCACGTCAGTGTGAACTGTGGGCTCCTGTCAGCCTTCACCTCCGCCTCCTCTCTCTCCAGGGAGAGCAGGTGTGTCCTTTCTGGGCCAGTCGGGAATCTCTTGTTCAGCACTGTTGGAGGTGTGGGGGATGCATGGGGCACAGGGTGTGGTCTCCAGAAACTTCTAGTGTGCATTGCAAGTGAGAAGCATCCTCTTACGCCAGGACTCTGATTGGGCAGGGAATACTCAGCGTACTCAATTCCAGGCTTTGCTATGGGGCTGAGAGAACGCTCGCTGTGGGGTGCAGTGGGGCTGCAGTGGCCCTTTCATTCATTCTTTGCTTCTTCAATCACTCCTTCACTCTGTATGTGAATGGGCGAGACGGGTCGGACACAGCTCTTGGAGTCAGAGTTCTTGAGTTGTTTTTTTTTTTTTTTTTTGAGACAGAATCTCGCTCTGTTGCCCAGGCTGGAGTGCAGTGGTGCAGTCTCGGCTCACTGTAACCTTCGCCTCCCCGGTTCAAGCGATTCTCCTGCCTCAGCCTCCCAAGTAGCTGGGACTACAGGCGTGCACCACTATGCCTGGCTAATATTTGTATTTTTAGTGGAAAAGGGGGTTTCACCATGTTGCCCAGGCTGGTCTCAAACTCCTGACCTCAGGTGATCCGCCTGCCTCGGCCTCCCAAAATCCTGGGATTACAGGTGTGAGCCACTGCGCCCAGCCTAGCGTTCTTGAATTTGAATTCTGTTTCTTCCACTGACTAGCTGTGTTCCTGTTAGCAAGTCATTCAGCCTTTCCCAAGCCTCAGCCGACTCATCTATATATAAGATGAAAACATCACTCCTTGTCCTGATCTTCCTCACGGAACTGTGCTTGGCAGAGGAAGTAATCATACGCGTCACAGCAAATTATGACACAAGTGTAAAGTCTTTCTGCGAACAGATACTTTTTGAGGGCCTTCAGGGTAGGAATGCTGCCCTTGACCCTGTGGGCTACATGGAGATGGTCAAGACAGTCCCTGTCCTCATAGCCGTTACGGCCTGGCAGGCCAAATAGGCACATTTCTTTTATTTCTTTCTTTTTTTTTTTTTTTTTTTTTTTGAGATGGAGTCTCGCTCTGTCGCCCAGGCTGGAGTACAGTGGCACGATCTCGGCTCACTGCAAGCTCCGCCTCCCAGGTTCAAGTGATTCTTCTGCCTCAGCCTCCCCAGTAGTTGGATTACAGGCACCCGCCACCACGCCTGACTAATTTTTTGTATTTCTGGTAGAGATGGGGTTTCCCCATGTTGGCCAGGCTGGTCTCGAACTCCTGACCTCGTGATCCACCCGCCTCGGCCTCCCAAAGTGCTGGGATTACAGGCGTGAGCCACCGCGCCCGGCAGATAGACACACGTCTTGGCAGATCCGGCTGGAAGGTTCTCAGCATGCTTTCTCATGGGGCACTGATGCAACAGAGCCCCTGAGCACCTCAGTTCATCCAGCACATAGTCCCTGCATGTCCACAGGAGCCAGGAGCTGTTCAGAGGCTAGATCGGTGGGCTTGGAGTACGTTGGAGGTGAGCAATGGTGAGGCCCGGCTACCCCCACCAAGTCTCGCAGCTGCAACCAGCTCCTCCAGCAGGAAGAGCCTCTGTGTTCTCTCCCTTTGGCAGCTCCTCGCATCCCACCACGTACACTCAGTTCTGGGTCTAGGGGCTGAAGCAGTGCCTTTTCACTTGGGTGATTTTCTGGCTGGCCTAGGAATGGCCTCTTCCTGTCACCATTTGGTTGAGCCAACTGGGGCAGGGAGAGGATCTGGGAAGGGGAGACAGAGATCCTGAAGAGGGCCCCTTAATTCTCAGTGGCTCCAGCTGCCTGGCGAGGCCACCCTCATGCCTCCTGGGGAGAATATCGCCGTGTCTGTGGATAGTCCCTTCCAGCATTATTGACATTGATGCATCATCTTGTCACTTAGGTGACCAGGGCAGCTGGAAATGATTCGGCAGGAAGGCCGAAATGCCGGCCTTTTCTCAGCCCTGATTCCCTGTGGCAGGTGCTGGGTTTGCCCCCTGGGGCCTCCTGCTCTGGGTTGAGATGTCGCATGAGAAGAGCAGAAGGCAGATGCGGCAGGGCCTTCCCCACACCCCGTCCACTTTACTAGATGCCTCTGGACTCTGAATTTTTTTTCCCAATGAATATGTATTTATGTGTGTGTGTGTGTGTGTGTGTGTGTATATATATATTTTTTTTTTTTTTTTTTTGAGCCGGAGTCTCGCTGTGTCCCCCAGGCTGGAGTGCAGTGGTGCGATCTCAGCTCACTGCAACCTCCGCCTCCCAGATTTAAGCGATTCTTTTGCCTCAGCCTCTCGAGTAGCTGGTACTACAGGCACACGCCACCACGCCCAGCTAATTTTTGTATTTTTAGTAGAGATGAGGTTCCACCACGTTATCCAGGCTGGTCTCGAACTTCTGACCTCAGGTGATCCACCTGTCCTGGCCTCCCAAAGTACTGGGATTACAGGTGTGAGCCACCGTGCCCGGCCATATGTATTTATATTTACAATAAAAATTTAAAAATCAGAAAACAGAATGATAGTCAGTGGTGCCCTTTGTAACAATCCAAGAATGGGTTATTGGTATTTAACAGGATACTTTTGTAGGCATTTAGCGAAGCAAAAATAACTTTCTCTTAGAAAAACATAACGCCTGTCTCAGGCGCTTTCCCACGCAGCTTTGCTTGTGGACTTCAGGTTTGTCTAGGTGGGTGTTTGCACGGCCCTTGAACTACCCATTCCCCAGCAGACGGCTTGATGAATGAGCCCAGTGGCTCAGCACACCAGAGCGGCAGGGGTCGGGGAGTGGGACTGAGGCCGAGGGATCCAAAGCAGCAGTGCAACAGGCAAGTCATCCAGGGATTGCCCCTCCGGGTCCCTCAGAATCCCAGCTGTGCCACTTACTTGCTGCAGGACCTTCCAGAAATCACTTACCGTCTCTGAGCCTCAGTTTCTTCATCTGCAAAATGGGAGAATAATTCTGTATCTACCACATAGGGGTGTTGAAAAGATTAAATGAAATAACGTACATAAAGAGTTTAGTATAGTGCTAAGCAAATATTAGCTGATATGATGATGATGACGAATAATAGTTTTTTTTTTTTTGGAGACAGGATCTCGCTCTGTTGCTCAGGCTGGAGTGCAGTGGCGCATTGCACTCTGCCTCCTAGGTCCAAGCGATTCTAGTGCCTCAGCCTCCCGAGTAGCTGGGACTACAGGCATGCACCAACACGCTCAGCTAATTTTTGTATTTTTAGTAGAGACGGGGTTTCCCCATATTGCCCAGGCTGGTCTTGAATTCCTGGCCTCAAGGGATCTGCCTGCCTTGGCTTCCCAAAGTGCTACTATTACAGGCATGAGCCACCGTACCTGGCTGATGATGAAGAATACTTACCTTTTTTTTTTTTTTAAGATGGAGTTTCGCTCTTGTTGTCCAAGCTGGAGTGCAATGGCGTGATCTCGGCTCACTACAACCTCCACCTCCTGGGTTCAAGCGATTTTCCTGCCTTAGCCTCCCGAGTAGCTGGGATTACAGGCACACGCCACTGCGCCCAGCTAATTTTTTGTATTTTTAGTAGAAATGGGTTTCACCATGTTAGCCAGGCTGGTCTCGAACTCCTGACCTAAGGTGATCTGCCTGCCTCAGCCTCCCAAAGTGCTGGGATTACAGGCGTGAGCCACCGCGCTTGGTTTTTTTGTTTTTTTTTTTTGAAATGGAGTCTCTCTCTATTGCCCAGGTTGGAGTGCAGTGATGCAATCTCAGCTCACTGCAACCTATGCCTCCCGGGTTCAAGCAATCCCCCTGCCTCAGCCTCCCGAGTACCTGGGACTACAGGTGCATACCACCACACTGGCAAATCTTTGTACTTTTAGTAGAGAAGGGGTTTCACCATGTTGGGCAGGCTGGTCTTGAACTCCTGACCTCAGGTGATCCTCCTGCCTCGGCCTCCCAAAGTGCTGGGATTACAAGTGTGAACCGCTGCGCCTGGCCTAACTATTATCTCTACTATCTGTGTCCAGACAAGAAGCCCGAGGCCAGGAGCAGAATCAATCCCCAGGGAATAGCAGGAGCTTGGTAACAGACCAAATAGGTGGGGAAGTGGTTAACTCTGTCTCAGAGTTTTTAAAAATTTTGCTTTTATCATGATCATGATTTCTAATTGACACATAATAATTATACCTATTTTGGGGGTACAGTGTGATATTTTGATATGTGTATACAATGTGTAATCATCAAATCAAGGTAATTAGCATATCTGTCACCTCAAACGTTGATCATTTCTTTGTATTGGGAACGTTCAAAATCTGCTCTTCTGGCTATTTGAAAATATACAATAAATTGTTAATTATGGTCACCCTACAAGGCTACAGAATACTAGAAATGATTCCTCCTTTCGGTACTTTTGTATCCCTGCCAACCTCTCCCTAACCCCTCTCTTTCCTGCCCTTCTCAGCCTCTGCTGACCACTATTCTGCTTTCTACTTCTGTGAGATCAACTTTTTTAGCTTCTACGTTTGCATGAGAACCCACAGTGTGTGTGTTTCTGTGCCTGGCTTATTTCACTTCCCATAATGTCCTCCAGTTTTATGCATGTCGCCACGAATGACGGGATTTGGTTCTTTTTTTATGGCTGGATAGTATCGTGCATATATACCACCTTTTCTTTTTCTTTTTTTTTTTTTTTTTGGAGACGGAGTCTTGCTTTGTCACCAGGCTGGAGCGTATTGGTGCGATCTCAGCTTGCTGCAACCTCCGCCTCCCGGGTTCAAGTGATTCTCCGGCCTCAGCCTCCCAAGTAGTTGGGACTACAGTGTACACCACCACGCCCAGCTAATTTTTTTTTTTTTTTTTTGTATTTTAGCAGAGGTGGGGTTTCACCATGTTGCCCAGGCTGGTCTTGAACTCCTGAGCTCAGGCGATCTGCCCGCCTTGGCCTCCCAAAGTGTAGGATTACAGGTGTGAGCCACCGTGCCTGGCCTATACCACCTTTTCTTTGTACATTCTTCTGTTTATAGACTCAGGTTCATTCCACACCTGGGCTGTTGTGAGCAGTAAACACAGGAGTGCAGATGGCTCTTCAACAGGCTGACTGCCTTTCCCTCAGATATGTACCCTGCAGTGGGATCGCTGGGTCATGTGGTTGTTCTGTTTCTAGTGTTTTGAGGACCCTCCGTGCTGTGTTCCATAGTGGCTGTGCTCACTTACGTTCCCACCAATCGTGTCTCAGGCTCTTGAGCAGGGAGATGAGGTCAACCAAAGCACTGATGAACCAAATTGCAGTGGTGATGAGCCGGGTGCCAGCTCAGCCGAGTCCTCCACCTCTTGGGGTCTATGAGCTCCCCATGTGTTACACATTTTTGAGTTCATTCAGTGCCAGGCCCTGTGCTGGGGCAGGCCAGTGGTCAGGGTGCGTGTTAGAGCCCAGCCAGAGGCCTCTGTTCTCTCTGGGTCAGAGGTAGGCTTGGCCGGGGGAGTGAGTTTCTGCTCATCACGTGGAGATCTTGATCACCCAGTGGAGCTCCCGGCGGCTGAGCCCTCTTTCTGAACTTTCCAGCCGTGAAATACTGCAGGGGCCATGGCCAGATTCCAGTATGCCCCTGGAGGCTCTTGCAGGTATCTTGTCCTTTCTTTTCTAATGTCCCAGAGAAAGAGGCCAGCACTGGGAGGAGGCAGGAGGTTTGATCGATCTGCGCTGGATTTTTTTTTTTTTTTTTTTTGAGATGGAGTCTCACTCTGTCGCCCAGGCTGGAGTGCAGTGGCACGATCTCAGATCATTGCAACCTCTGCCTCCCGGGTTCAAGTGATTCTCCTGCCTCAGCCTCCAGAGTAGCTGGGACTACAGGCGCACGCCACCACGCCTGGCTAATTTTTATGTGTGTGTATATATATATATATATATATATATATTTTTTTTTTTTTTTGTAGAGATGGGTTTTCCCCATTTTGGCCAGGTGGGTCTTGAACTCCTGACCTCAAGTGATCCGCCCGCTTTGGCCTCCCAAAGTGCTGGGATTACAGGTGTGAGCCCCCGCACTGGCCTGCGCTGTGTTCTGTAGGTTGGGTTAGAGCATGCTGTTGAGATGAGATCCCAGCCCTGGTCCCTGGGAGCCAAATCACTGATGCTTGGTTGCATGGCCATGGGTGGAACCCCTTGTTCTGGACACTCGTCTTCCAGGAATGTACCACGGTCACAAGCAAGAAAGGGGAGGAACGAGGATGGGCCAGGTGCCCTGTCTCAGTGCTGGAAAACAGCTTCATGCATTTGTCTTTCTAATGAGTGAGAATAACATTATTATAGTAATTGAATAGACCAGGCAGATTTACCCTGAAATGCTGTAGTCTGTCCCCATTGAAACTGTTATTTAGTTTGAACCAATGATGGAAGCTCCTAATCCATTATGTCACCAAGTAATCTTATTCAGAAGAGTTAAGACTTAAGACACAGTCTTAGAGCGGAGTGGAGCAGTGGCTTAGCTGGAAGGCCGGTTGGCTCTGTGATAGGGAAACTTTCAGTGCTCACAGACTGCTGGGGGATTTCTTAGCATGGATGGTTTAACACGCCTCTGTGCTGGGCACTGTGAGACGGGGCTCCTTTTCTTCTTGGGCTTGCCGGGAATTCAGCCAACACATGGGACCCCTTATTACACAGTGTATCCTCCCAGTAGCACCAGTTTTTGGTCCAATTCAATGGTCAGTGTTTACTTTTTTTTTTTTTTTTTGAGACAGAGTCTTGCTCTGTCACCCAGGCTGGAGTGCAGTGGCGCAATCTTGGCTCACTGCAAGCTCCGCCTCCTGGGTTCACACCATTCTCCTGTCTCAGCCTCCCGAGTAGCTGGGACCACAGGCGCCCGCCACCACGCCCGGCTAATTTTTTGTGTTTTTAGTAGAGACGGGGTTTCACTGTGTTAGTCAGGATGGTCTCGATCTCCTGACCTCTAGTGATCTGCCCACCTCGGCCTCCCAAAGTGCTGGGATTACAGGCTTGAGCCACCACGCCCGACCAATGTTTACTTTTTATGACTGTGTAAATGTTATTCATTGTTATGTGAGAGGGTACCATAATTATGTTTTCTTTCTTGTATAACTTTTCATGTTTCTTGGAGTTAATGATTAACTCCTGTTTCTGCCATTAGCTTTGTTTTCTATGGACCTATCTTTCTTTTTCTTTTTTTTTTAATTTTTGAGACAGGGTCTCACTCTGTCACCCAGGCTGGAGTGCAGTGCCACATTCATGGCTTACTACAGTCTTGACCTCCAGGGTTCAAGCGATCCCCCTACCTCAGCTTCCCAAATAGCTGGGACCATGGGTGCTTGCCACCATGCCTGGCTAATTTTTGTGGAGAGACATGGTCTCACTATATTGCCCAAACTGGTCTCAAACTCCTGAGCTCAACCAATCCTCCCGCCTTGGCCTCCCAAAGTACTGTAATTACAGGTGAGAGCCACTGTACCTGGCCTATTTTTCTACTTTTATTTTTTTCTACCACAATTACTTTAATAGATGGCCCCTCCCTACCCTCCCCCATCTCCGCCAAGCTTGCATCCATCAGATAACCTGTCAATTCCATTCTTTCCCCCAGGAGATCTCACTTCCAGAGCCCCCCCATCCTCTAGTGATAGTATCCTCCCAAGAAAGGGTGCAAGGGTGTGAATTTTTTTGAGCTCTTGCATATTTCAGAATGTCTTTATTGGTTGATAGTTTGCCTGGGTGTGAAATTTTAGGTTGAAAATAATTTTCTTTGAGAATTTTGAGAGTTATAACATCATTGCCTACTAGATTCCAGAGTTGCTGTTGAAAAGTCTGATGATATGCAGATTCATATTTCTTTTCTTTTTTTTTTTTTTTTTTTTTTTTTTGAGACAGAGTTTCACTCTCGTCTCCCAGGCTGGAGTGTAATGATGTGATCTCGGCTCACTGCAACCTCTGCCTCCTCGGTTCAAGCGATTCTCCTGCTTCAGCCTCCCAAGTAGCTGGGACTACAGTCATGTGCCACCATGCCCGGCTAATTTTTGTATTTTTAGTAGAGACGGGGTTTCACTATGTTGGCCAGGCTGGTCTCGGACTCCTGACCTCAGGTGATCTGCCTGTCTCGACCTCCCAAAGTGCTGGGATGACAGGCGTGAGCCACCGCACCCGGCCCAGATTCCTATTTCTCTGTATATGGTATGTATTTATATTTTCTCTCTGGTGTCACTGAGAATTTTTCATTTGCCCAGGTGTTCTGAAATTTCCTGACAGTGTTTGGGATGGATCTTGTGTCTTTACTGTGCTGTGTACTTGGTGGACCCAGAGACTCAGGACCTTCAGTTCTGGAAGATGTTCTTGTACTATTTCCCTGCTAATCTTTCTGTTATGGTGAGACAACAGCCATTTTATTATGCTCAAGTTCTGTGGGTGAGGAATTCAGCTAGGGCGTGTTGGAGATGATGGCTTCTCTCTGCTTTCACAACGTCTGGGGACCTCATCTTGGGTGGCTCAGATGGCTGGAGATGACTGCGACGGTCCACTGGGGCTGTATGTCCGGGAGCTGGGCTGTGTTCTCATAGCATCTACTGGAGCTGAGATGCCCAAGGTGGTTTCTTCATGTGCATGGACTGGGATGTTTGGAGCATCTGGGCATCTCTCTCCATGTAGCCTCTCCATGTTCCCAGCTGCAGCATTGACAGTCTCAGTCAGGCCTTTCACGTGCAGGCTTGCTTTCTCTGGAGCAAATGTTCCTAGAGGTAGAGGTGGAAGCTGTCCTGTGACTCATTCCTGAAAGTGAGGTAATGTTACGTCTGTCTCATTCTGTTGGTCAAGACTGAGTCACAGGGCCAGCCCAGATTCAAGAGGGGAGCACACAAAGCCATCAGCACCAAGAGATGCCAGCTTTGGATACCAGCTGCCAGCTCCCCTCCCCTTTCTCTTTCTGGGAACTTTCTTGGTCGGCTATTTGATCTTTTTTCTCTTCCCTCTTTTGTTTTCTGTATCTTTATGTTTTTGTTCTACTTTTTGGGAGATTTCCTCAACTTAGTCTTTTCATCATATTTCTTTTTCTCTTTTTCTTTTTTCTTTTTTTTTGAGATGGAGTTTTGCTCTTGTTGCACAGGCTGGAGTGTAGTAGCGTGATCTTGGCTCACTGCAACCTCTGCCTCCCGGGTTCAAGTGATTCTCCTGCCTCAGCCTCCCAACTAGCTGGGATTACAGGCACCCGCCACCAGCTACTAGCCCGGCTAGTTTTTTTATTTTTTATTTTTAGTAGAGACGTGGTTTCTCCATGTTGGCCAGGCTGGTCTCGAACTCCTGACCTCAGGTGATCTGCCTGCCTCAGTCTCCCAAAGTGCTGGGATTACAGGCGTGAGCCACCGCACCCAGCCCCCTTACTGTTATTTTAATGGGCTTCAGAAGAAGTGGGATAATAAATGCGTGTGGTCAGTCTGACAGGTTCATCCTGGAAGTCTCAACAGGCTTCAGAATATCTCTATTTATATCTCCTAAAGGAAGTGAGGGTACATAGTTATCACTGCTGAAACATGATTTTTTATTGTGATAAATGTTATACATCCACACTGAATGAATCATAAGATGAATGCGCCTTTCCTCGCCATCCAGGTGAAGGGCGTTTACGGGCTGGGAAAATGCTGATAGCCCACACCTTGTGACTCCCGGCTTTTGTGAGTGGTTTCTGAAGCTGCCGGAGGCCGTGACCTTGTGCGCTGGCTGCCTCTGCTCTGACCATGACGCTGCTCCCCCCATGGAGGCCAGGCAGTGCCAGGCAGAGCCGCTGACTGCGCCCGGGAGGGGAACTGCTCTGTCGGCAGTTTCTGAGTGACGGAGTGCGTTTGAAGGGCTGGGTGCGTAGGCACCTGGCTTGGTGATTTCTTCAGCGCAGGGGAGGTGGAGCCTCTGCCACCCCCTGCTTGGCACGCGCTCTTCCCTGAGCACCGCCCTTCCAGCCCATCCCAGCAGGCTGCCTTCTCACCTCTCCTTCCCTGCCCCTTGGAGGGCTCCTGTTCATTTTTGCTTTATGAAAGCCGGCCAGGCGCTCATGTCTGTGATCCCAGCACTTTGGGAGGCCGAGGTGGGCAGATCACCTGAGGTCAAGGGTTTGAGACGAGCCTGGCCAACATGGCGAAACCCCGTCTCAACTAAAAATACAGAAAAAAAAAAAAGTTAGGCTGGGCATGGTGGCCCATGCCTGCAATCCCAGCACCCAGCACTTTGGGAGGCCAAGGCAGGCAGATCACCTGAGGTCAAGGGTTTGAGACCAGCTTGGCCAACATGGCAAAAACCCCATCTCTACTAAAAATACAAAACTTAGCCAGGCATGGTGGTAGGCACCTGTAGTCCCAGCTACTTGGGAGGCTGAGACAGGAGAATCGCTTGAACCCAGGAGGCGGAGCTTGCAGTGAGCCAAGATCGCGCCACTGCTCTCCAGACTGGGTGACAGAGCGAGACTCCGTTTCAAAAACAAACAAAAAACCCCCTAAAACCCCAAAGCCCTACATGCTGTCCCTGAGGGCCTCCACCCCTCCCGTGGCCTCAGCTTCCACCTCTGTTCTTGTTACACCTGTCTTTCTGCTTAGGTTTTAGTGCTGTTCTGATCCCATTTGGGTGTCCCAGGGGCCCCTGGCTTGCCGTGCGTCCAGAAAGAGAGCCTTATCATCTGCCTCTCGCAAAGCGACTCTCCTCCTCCGTCTGTATCACGGCTGAAGCGTCCGTCATTCTGTTTTCTGAAACCCAGGTTACTTGGTGTGTTTAGCTCTCGGCCCCCCCTTTACTTTCTGTCACCAAGTCCTCTTAATTTTGCTCCCGAAATGCCTTATGACTCTGACCCTTTCATGTCATTTCTGTGGCTGTGAGCGCAGTGGAGGGCAGCGCCCCTCGGCCCCGTTTCGGTCTTCCCCTGGCCCCTCCCTTCCAGCCGCTCCGTTCTCTCTCTGCTGCTTGCAGAGTCCTCCAGCAAAGCTCTGCAGGTCATGGGCACCCCGCCTCGGGCCCCTTGGCTTCCTTCCTTTGCCCTCGAGAGAGGGTTCAGCATGCGGCACCTTTTCCCAGCGTCCGCACAGCGCCGGCACTGTTTGTACTGTGTGTGTGTCACCTGTCTCAGGCCCATAATGTTTTCCTTCAAGCGGCTCAGGTGTTACAACTTCAGTGGACTTGTTTCAGAAGGCACCTTTACGTCACTACCATAAAAGGAAAATCAGGGTGGCCTCCCACAAAGAGGGTCTCTGTCAAAGCTCAGTAAGTGACTGTTACAGTGAAGACCACCCCAGGTGCCCTCGGGGGCCCGCGGGGAGGCAGGCGTCCACTCTGGGAAGCCGTGGGCCATGGGATCTCCTCCCCAGCGGGCCCCTTCTCCTCCTCAGAGGCAGTGTAGCACCGTGGTAAACGCCACAGACCCTGGGGCCAAGCCTGCGCCCAAGCCTCACTCTGCTCCTTTCCAGCAACATGATCTTGGTCCGCTTAACCTCTCTGAGCCTCATTTTCCCTGCTGTAAAAGGGGTTAATACTATTTCCTTCAGTGGATTGTGGTATTAAATAAGAGAGTGTACATGGATCACTTCACACAGTGCCCTAACCCTTGAGGCCTGTTTGCTGGCATTTGCCCTTCCCCGCTACTTTTTTTTTGAGACGGGGTCTTGCTCTGTTGCCCAGGCTGGAGTGCAGTGGCGCGATCTCGGCTTACTGCAACCTCCGCCTCCCGGGTTCAAGCAATTCTCCTGCCTCAGCCTCCCGAGTAGCTGGGATTACAGGCGCCTGCCACCATGCCTGGCTAATTTTTTGTATTTTTAGTAGATATGAGGCTTCACCACATTGGCCAGGCCGGTCTCAAACTCCTGACCTCTAGTGATCTGCCTGCCTCGGCCTCCCAAAGTGCTGGGATTACATCTGTGAGCCACCGCGCCCGGCCTGCCCTCCCCTTTTGCCAGCCTGCTGTGCCCTCGAATGGTGTGATGTGTCTCCTGGGCATTGCGACACTGGTGGTCTCTCCGTCATGCTGGTCACGTTCCTCTGCGTCCTGCTTCTGTGCCCTCCCCTTCCCCGCTTCTCCCGTAGGTCACTGCTGGCCTCTTCTCTAGGCCTAGATCAGCCGTTGCCTCCTGTGCGATCCCGTAGCTGGTCTCCCAAGGAGAACCAGACCTCTCCTCCCTGTGACCTCATGGCACTTGATTCTGTATCTCTTGTTTCACCCCATGACCCCACAGTCCATGTTTGGCACTCGGGTCTTTCAGGTGGGTGTGCCGTGCCTGCAGGATGGTTTTCTGCATTTTGCCCGGATCATTTTCTCAGATGCTTGTGAATCACACAGACGTCGCCTCCCACGCTGAGACACTACCCTTGGTCCCCAAGAACTCAAAACACACAAGAAGACGTTTGGCCACTGTCCCCTCCTCGCTCCCTGCTGTGGTACTTGGGCCAGGTGGAGCTGGCTTTCCCATGGCAGTGGGAAGGAGCACCGGAATGGGAGTCAGAGATCTCAGGGTTGAGGTCCAGCTCTCGTATTTTCTGACTCTGTGACCCCAGGCTCACATAGAACTCGGAATCTCTGCTGGCTTGGGTGTAAACCATAAAGCACGCATCAGTTCTAAAAGCTGCTTGTGCGGTAAAGGCTTATTTTCCCAGGGTGAGGATTTGCCCATGTGGGTAGATTGGTCCATCGCTCTGAGATATGTGCACGAGGGGGCCCCAGGTGCCCCCAACCACAGGGCTGTGGAGGGGCTGCAGAGGTTCTCCCAGGTGGTCTGCCCGTAGGGTCCTGTTCCTCCCGCCTCCTGCCCTTTTTCCTAGCCCTGGTGCAGTTTAGGACTTCAGGTCCTGTCCTCATCTAATGCACCTGGAGGGCAGCAGGAGTGTCTTCTGAAGCTGCAGCCCGAGTCTGGCCCGGGCCTCCCCTTGTGCCCACGTGCAGCCACAGGGTCCTGCGCAGGGTGTAGCCTGCAGCAGAGACTCCAGCCGGCTCATCTCCTGCACAGCCTGGGCCTCCTGCTCTCTGTCTGCTCTATGCAGGGGACCAGTAGCCCCCTTTGACCCTCTCCCCCTTCTGTCCCCTCACTTGAGGGCCTTGGCACTTTATAAACGGGTGTCCAGGCCAGGTGCGCTGGCTCACGCCTATAATCCCAGCGCTTTGGGAGGCTGAGGCGGGTAGATCGCCTGAGGTCAGGAGTTCGAGACCAGCCTGGCCAACATAGTGAAACCCTGTCTCTAATAAAAATACAAAAAATTGTTTGGGCGTGGTGGCGCGTGCCTGTAATCCAAGCTGCTTGGGAGGCTGAGGCAGGAGAATTGCCGGAACCCAGGAGGCGGAGGCTGCAGTGAGCCGAGATTGTGCCATTGCACTCCAACCTGGGCAACAAGAGTGAAACTCCGTCTCAAAACCAAAAACAAACAAACAAAAAAATGGGTGTCCAGAAGCCAGTTGTGCTTCCTGACACGTTCCTCCTGGAGACTTTTTTTTTTCTTTGAGATGGAATCTCGCTCTGTTGCCCAGGCTGGAATGCAGTGGCACGATCTTGGCTCACTGCAACCTCTGCCTCCTGGGATCAAGCAATTTCTGGCTAATTTTTGTATTTTGAGTAGAGATGGGGTTTCACCATGTTGGCCAGGCTGGTCTCGAACTCCTGACCTCAAGTGATCTGCCCACCTCAGCCTCCCAAGGTGCTGGGATGACAGGCGTGAGCCACCATACCCAGCCCCTCCTGAGACTTGCTCCCCACTTCCCACAAGCCTGGGCCGAGGTGATTTGGAAGTGGGGCCTCTTCCTTGGAGAAGAGAAGAGAGGCTCACTGTGGGGTTTGGGCGGTTCCCTCGGCTCTCCAGCCTCCACGTGCTTGTCTGCATAATGAGGCTGTCGGGTGGCATCTGGTGCTTTCTCCCACGGCTGCTGCTCTCTGCATCCGTGAACCCTGGGATTGAAGTAGGGGTGGGGATTGCCATTTTGCAATTTCTGCGGAGTCTTTTTTTTTTTTTTTTTGAGACAGGGTCTCGCTCTGTCCCCCAGGCTGGAGTGCAGTGGCATGATTACGGCTCACTGTAGCCTTGATCTCCTAGGCTCAAGTGATCCTCCCACCTCAGCCTCCTGAATAGCTAGGACTACAGGCATGCACCTGGCTCATTTTTAAATTTTTTATGGAGATGGGATTTCACCATGTTGCCCAGGTTGGTCTTGAACTCGTGGGCTCAAGCCATCCTCCTACCTCAGCCTCCAAAGTGCTGGGATTACAGGTGTGAGCCACCTCACCCGGCCAACGGGGGAGTTTTGAATCACCAAAGGTCTAGAGTTGGTGCCCCAAATCTTTGGAATCCTCTCAGAGTATGTGCTGGGATGGGCTGTGACCCCGAGGTCAGCCCTGCCAGGTAGGAACAGGTGCGCAACACCTGCTCCTTCTCAAGCTACCCATTCACTCCACCTGTTGGAGCCTTTTGTTCCTGAATCCAGTGTCCTCTTCCCTCCCCCACACTCTGCCAGGTCTGCTGGGCTCATGCCCTTTCTCCCTTCCACACTGGCCCCAGCACAGGCATGAGGGTCATCAGTGCCCGCATCTCCATGTCTGTCCCCTTGGGGCTTGGAATTGAGCCATGTGCATATACCCGGGGCCTGGCGGTTCCCACATGGCAGCTGGGCTCCCGTGTCCCTGTCTCCCAGCTTAGCATCCACAGTATGTGGGGCAGCGAGTGCCCAGATCTGAAGATGTCCCTGCCCCCGTCCACCTCTGCCTTCTGATCAGCTTTCTGCCTTGGCCCCTCCTCCTCCGTGCCCATTCTTCCCGTTGATTTGAGCCTTGGCAACAAGGCGACCAGCCATGTTTTTGCAGCGTACCAGGCACTGTGCTGAGTGCTTTCTGGGCCTTCCTCATAACGCCCCATGAGGCGAGGAGTAGTCACACCGTTTTACAGATGAGGAAGCTGAGGCATGGAGAGGTGAGATAACCTGACCACACAGTGAATCAGGAGTGGTGCTGGAGTATTGATTAGCAGGAGTATTGATTAGCGATTGCATCCCGTTCCCCTCTCCCTGCAGCCCCTGGCAACCTCTCATCACCGTTCTGTCTGTGGATTTGCCTGTTCTGTGGATTTCATGGAACTGGAATCACACAGCATGTGGCCTTTTGTGCCTGGCTCCTGTCACTCGGCACCGTGCTTCCTAGGTGCATCCGTGTTGTAGCATGCATCAGTTCTTCATTCCTTTTCTTTCTATTGTCTTTATAGTCATAAGCTATCAGTTTGTTTTTATTTTTATTTTATTTTATTTTATTTTGAGACGGAGTCTCACTCTGTCACCCAGGCTGGAGTGCAGTGGAGCGATCTCGGCTCACTGCAAGCTCCGCCTTCCGGGAGCTTCCGCTATTCTCCTGCCTCAGCCTCTCGAGTAGCTGGGACTACAGGTGCTCGCCACCACACCTGGCTAATTTTTTAAATATTTTTTTTAGTAGAGACGGGGTTTCACCATGTTAGCCAGGATGGTCTCGATCTCCTGACCTCGTGATCCGCCTGCCTTGGCTTCCCAAAGTGCTGGGATTACAGGCGTCAGCCACCACAGCCAGCCACTTATTTTTATTTTTTTGAGGTGGAGTCTCGCTCTGTCACCCGGGCTGGAGTGCAGTGGCACAATCTTGGCTCACTGCAACCTCTGTCTCCCAGGTTCAAGTGATTCTCCTGCCTCAGCCTCCTTAGTAGCTGGGACTACAGACATGCGCCATCATGCCTGGCTAATTTTTTGTATTTTTAGTGAGATGGGGTTTCGCCATGTTAGCCAGGTTGTTCTTGAACTCCTGACCTCAGGTGATCTGCCTGCCTCAGCCTCCCAAAGTGCTGGGATTACAGGCATGAGCCACTGCCCGTGGTCCTATTTTTATTTTTGAAAATTAATTATTTTTGCTTCATTTCTTTTTATGGGTGAGCAGTATTCCACAGTATGGAACAACCAAATTTTATTTATCTGTTCGTTGGCGGATGGACACTTGGATTGCTTCCCCCTTTTGGCCATTATGAATCATGTTTCTTGTTCCTTTTGGTTTGGTTTTCCCGAGAAGCTCTTTGCAGCCCAGCTGTCTGTATTCCTCTAGCTTGGCTATTTGGAAAGCAAGAGAAAGCGTAGCTGAGCGTGGGTGGATGGCTGGGAGCGGGTGTGGGGAGGGGATGCAGGAAAGGGGAGTTTCAGGCTTTGGGAGAACCCCGTGTGGAGGGGGCCTTACACCTGGCCCCAGAGCCACCTGCTGCTAGGTGAGTGTTTTTCCTGTGGTTGATTATTAACCAACGGTTATGATCCTGAGAGTAGATCCCCAGGCTAGAACTGGTGCTCATTTGAGATGCCAGAAATGTTTTCCAAGGCATTTAAACGGCCTTGGACTCTTGCTTCTGTCTCCACTTGGAGACCACATCAACATTTTATGAGTTATAATCATCATCATCATCATCATGGTCTACATTGATATAGAACTTCATGTTTTATGTCACAGCTGTTATTTTTTTAAATTAATTAATTCATTTTTTTGAGACGGAGTTTCGCTCTTGTTGCCCAGGCTGGAGTGCCATGGTGAGATCTCGGCTCACTGCAACCTCCCCCTCCCAGGTTCAAGCGATTCTCCTGCCTCAGCCTCTCAAGTAGCTGGGATTACAGGCACCCGCCACCACGCCTGGCTAATTTTTGTATTTTTAGTAGTGACAGGGTTTCACCATGTTGGCCAGGCTGGTCTCGAACTCCTGACCTCAGGTGATCTGCCCACTTTTGCCTCCCAAAGTGCTGGGATTACAGGTGAGAGCCACCTCTCCCAGCCACAGCTATTATTTTTAACTCCTTGGTACTTTATTACCCCTATCTTTGCAGATGAAGGAAACAAGACACAACGAGGTAACTTAACCAAGGCCTCACAGCTGGGTAGCAGGCAGAGCCAAACTTGAACCCAGGAATCCCTTGATTCCAAGTGTAGGGTGCTCTCCATAGCGATGTGTGAGACATGACGGTTGCAGTGACCTCAAGATGGTCTGAGGCAGAGCCCTCCGAGGGTGGGGAGGCGAGGAGCCTGCAGGCCTGGGTGCTGTCACAGGGGCTCCGCCAGGGGTCTGTCTAGCTCCGTCTGGGTGAATCATGGCCTTTGACTTCTCAGCTTCCACTCCAGGCCCCTTTGACCATTTCCTCCAGAGATTTGCATTTGGCCAACGCTGGCTAGGACGCGTCCTGGTCTCCCTGAGCCTCCCCATCTGCCCTTGGATCTCCTGTGCTTCTAGGGAGGAAAAGAATCCCAGAGCAGGGAACCTCAGTGCCATGTGAGAAGGGGCAGGGCCTCCAGGACTCCCCCAGGTGGCAGAGGCTCTCTGACCTGCCCTTCCAGCCTGCCCTTGCCACCCTTCTCTTTGAACTGAGTATGTAATCTTCCTCTTCTCTTCCTCTGGCTTCTCTCCATCCTCCTTTTCCCTTCTCTGCTTTCCAAGCTGTCCCCATCTCCAGCCCCTCCTCTCATGGGTCCTTGTGGGTCCCTGGGTGGGTCTGGGGCCCCGCGTCGTTAGAGTTGCATGCGAGTATGGGGCTGGGTCGCTTGAGGGCTGCGGTTTTCAATCTCAGTGCCATGACATGTGGCAAGATAGATCCCTGTGGGTCACAAAGAAGTTGTCACCTCGGCTAAGGATTTACCTTTTGCTTCTAATTAGAGCACATTCAAGGTTATCCCTTGATATAATCACATCACTTTCACCTCCTCGTGTGTGATATGTTTGCCTGAGTGGGAGAAAAAGGGATAAAACTGCATCAAGCACCGCGTCACTTAACTCTATCTTATCTCGGTGCCAGCTGGTGGCTGGGCTGGGCTGTGCCTGGCTGTCCTTGGGAGGGTGGCTCATGTGTAAATGTCATTGTCCTGGGGCAGGACAAGGCTGAGCATAGCTGATCAGAGCAGGGGTGGTGAGGCAGAAGCAGGATTTCATCTTCACTGTTTTTGGCTCTCTAGGCCAAGGCTAGAACCTGGGGCCTGGGCACTGCATTCATTTCCTAGGGCTGCCATTACCAAGGACCTCAGATGGCTTAAAGCCGCAGACATTTATTATTTCAGTTCTGGAGGCCAGAAGTCCAAAATCAAGGTGTCAGCAGGGCGACGCTCCCTCTGCAGGCTCTAGGGAAGAATCCTTCCTCGCCTCTTCTAGCCTCTGGCGGGGTCGGCAAGCCTCAGCATGCGTTGGCTTGCAGCCGCATCACTCCTGTGTCTGCCTGAGAACACGGGGCATTCTCACTGTGTGTTTCTTCACATTGTTGCCTTCCCTTCTTTTTTTTTTTTTTGAGATGGAGTCTTGCTCTGTCACCCGAGCTGGAGTGCAGTGGCACGATCTCAGCTCACTGCAACCTCCACCTCTTGGGTTCAAGCGATTCTCTTGCCTCAGCCTCCCAAGTAGCTCGGATGACAGGCACACGCCACCATGCCTGGCTAATTTTTGTATTTTTAGTAGAGACGGGGTTTCGCCACGTTGAACAGGCTGGTTTGGAACTCCTGACCTCAAGTGATCCACCCCCGTCTCAGCCTCCCAAAATGGTGGGATTACAGGCATGAGCCACCGCTCTGGGCCCAGTTCAGATGTTTTTGAGGGTGGCAGTCATGCCTTCTGCCCACCCTGGCACCCCCTCTGGAGTCCTGGACACAGCGCTGGAGCTTGCATGAGGCTGGTCACCACTGGTGCTCATGTCTGCTCTAGCGCCTTCCAAGCTCCCAGGCATCATTTGGGAAATCCTTCTGGTCAGAAGCTGCCATGTGCTCCGACTTGAGAGTCTGCCTCGCTTCCTAGAGACCGGCCCCAGGAGCTTATCCAGTGTCCAGTAGAGACCGGCCCCAGGAGCTTATCCAGCATCCAGGGGGAAAAGGCAGGGGAGAGGGGCTCAGCTCAGGGAGTGTTGGATGCTGCGCCCTTTTGACCGGGACTCAGGGCCTTGAACAATAATCATATGTGCCCTGGTGCCATGAGCGTGGACACCTTGTGCCTGATGGGGAAAAATAGACAGCATGACTGTGTGTATGAGCGTCCAGTGACCGGTGATGTTAAAACCAGCTCTGTCCTCCTCTGGACTGTGTGTTTCTGGAGAGCCAGGGCTGCTGTCCATCAAGGTGCCTGCGAGCCATCTCCAGAGGCCCTCTGCTAAGCCCAGAGTCGCCCTATAGCATCTGGTGGGGGCTTGTTTTACTTCCCCTCCCTGCGTGCTTTTCCTTGCTGGGCTCCTAGCCTTACAGGGGAGCAGCTGTCATTCTCACCATGGGCCCGAAGAGGACCTGAGGGTGATGCCCTCCTGCTTGATCATTCTTCCTTTCCCCCATCATGGCTCTTAAAGGCCAGGCCCATTGAGGAGGAGCTGTGGCTGCTTGGGAGAGGGCCAGGTGGAGGAGGCGGTGAGCCTGTGCTGGACCCAGCTCTGTTGTGCACACAGGCAGGTGAGTGTCTGGCAGAGCAGCCAGACTGGAGCCTACGGTGGTAATGTCCAAGGCCGTACATAGAAGGAGGCTGGCAGCTCTAGCTGAGAGGTAGCAGGAGCTGGTGCCTGCTTTTGTGTGTGTGTGAGAGTGTGTGCACACACCTAGGAGCTATCTCAGCCCTGCTGGTTTCTTGAGCCAGTTACAGCCTGGATCAGGCGGGAGAGTCCCCCCTCTCCAGCCATCAAAACTTACATCAACAAGGTCCAGGAAGAAAGAAAGAGGAAGGGAGATGGGGAGCAGGAGACAGGGATTGCCAGGTTCAGGTTAATGGGGTGGAATGGATTCTCTGCCAAGCCAGGTAGTCCCCAGGCCCCTGATGTGGCTCCCTAGTTGGCCACAGGGAGGGCTGGCTGGTCAACTGCAGGGGCAGGCAGGGGTACACATGACCCAGGCCTAGCCTGGAAGTGTTCTCAGCCTGGTCCTGCTCCGTGGGCTCAGGGAGCCAGGCAGGATGGGGTCTGGGCCTGGAAACCTGGAGGGCTGGGCTCTGTAGGGAGGGTGGGTTTCTGTCATGAAGAAGGTGTGGGGTTGGAACTGTCGCTTCGCTGGCAGGACTTGGGCTGGGAAGAGGGGCAGAAGGATTCTCTGGAGGTGGCAGTGGGGGTGCTTTGATCATTTACGCAGGACCTGGGGGTTGGGCTGACTCTCTCTGCTGCTTCAGAGCGGGGCTGTAGAGGAGGACACACTTGTAAAGTTGGGGGCTTTGACGGCTCAGCCCGGCCCTCTTCGGCTTTTAATACGGTTCTCCCAGCCCCCTCGTCCCCTCCTGGGTACAGCCAGAGCTTGTTCAGGACACTGGAGTCCCTCACCCGGGAATTCCCCAGGCTCTGCCCAGCTGGCCCTGTTGTGCAGCCGTGGCTCTGAAGGCTGATCCCATGCCAAACCGTCTGCTTGGTGATGGGACCGCACACAGCACTCCCCGGTCACCAGCGAGGGCCAGATGGAAAGTGGGGAGTGTGTGAGCGCGGCAAACTTGTCGCAGTCATGTTGCCATGGTGACACAACTCTGTTTAGCTGCCTCTCTACCGTCCTAGCCCACATGGACTAAGTTAAGTTTTACCTGCGGTTGCACGGCAGGCAGCCCTGTCTCCCGAGGACAGCTTTTTGACCAGGGCCTGTGTGTGTGTGTGTGTGTGTGTGTGTGTGTGTGTGTGTACGTGCAGAGGGGCTCAAGGGAGAATGAATCCGCGTTTCTCCCCTCCTCTTCTCACACCCAGCCCCAGTCCTGGATCTCTTTAGCCCCGTGGTTCTCAGACTTTGCCGTGTAGCAGAATGACCTGGAGAGCTCGTTGGAGCGCAGGTTCCTGGGCTCATCACTGGAGAGCCTGGTGTGCACCTGCAAATGTGCATGTCTTTCGAGTTCCCAGGTGCCGCTGGTGGTCCAGGGACCATACTTAGAGTAGCACTGCTTTAGATTTTGGTGCATTGGAGTAAAGAAAATGCTCCCAATTCTGGTTTCTGCATTGTATTTTTTTTTTTAATTGGAAACGGAGTTTCATTCTTGTTGCCCAGGCTGGAGTGCAGTGGCGCCATCTTGGCTCACTGCAACCTCCACCTCCCAGGTTCAAGTGATTCTCCTGCCTCAGTCTCTCTAGTAGCTGGGACTACAGGCGTGCACCACCACGCCCAGCTAATTTTTTGTATTTTTAGTAGAGATGGGGTTTCACCATGTTGGTCAGGCTGGTCTTGAACTCCTGACCTCAGGTGATCCGTCTGCCTCGGCCTCCCAAAGTGCTGGGATTACTGGCGTGAGCCACCCAACCCAGCCTGCATTGTATGTTAAACTGTGTCCGAGAGCCCAGTCACTCTTGGAGGAGAGAAGGGAAGGCGCAGGCAGGTCCTCACTCACCTCTTTTGGCCTCTTCACAGGAAGCAGGAGCTGGCCAACAGCTCGGATGCGACCCTCCCAGACCGGCCGCTCTCCCCTCCTCTCACGGCACCTCCCACCATGAAGGTAAGAGGCTTCGATTCAGGAAGGCAGGGAGGGGAGAGTGTGGGGAAGTTGTGAGGCCTTGCTGTGGCTTTGGCTCCAGGCCCAGCAGCGTCCGTCGCAGTGGGGCTGTGGAGTGTCCTGACACCTCGGAGGAGGTGATGTTCAGTTAAGCACCAGTGCGGGGGAAGCATGACAAGAGACTCAGGGTGTCTGTGTCAAGGGGCGGTGAGGACATTGGGGTTGAAATGGGGTTGGCAGGACTCTTGGTAATTGGTAGTGGAGTTTGGGAACAAGGGGCCCAGCCAGGAGGAAGCCGGGGGATAGAAGGCAGCTGCCCAGAAGGACTGCCTGGGGCTGGGCTGTGGCCCTCCTGGGACTTGAAGGGCATTTGCATGCTGGTCTGCCGGCCTCTGGCTGGCCCTTCTGAGCTGGGCCTGTTCACGGCAGTCCCCATGGAAGGGTTGGCTGGAGGTTCGGGTCGGGGTGGCAGTTATTTTCTTATCAGCACTTCCTTCGTGAGCCTTTTTCCTGGGGAGACCACAGTCCAGGCTGCTAGGCCCAGGACCTTCTCACTCCTGGACGGGAGCCGAGGGAGCAGTGCCCTTCTGCCACCATGACCTTCCCCCATCACTTTTCAGTCCGACGCCTCGGCAGGATGGCCACACAGGCCTGAGCTGGTCCTCAGAGGAGACTTTTGGCTCAGCCAGTGTTTCTGCATAGGCTGGCATGCACGCTCTCCCTCCCTCCCTCCCTGCCTCCCTCCTTCCTTCACACTCTGTGGAGTGAGTGAGGACTAGTGCTGAAGAAGTCACCTGCCTCCTGAGTCATCTGAGGGGACATCTAGGCCAGCTCCTCTCTGTCCTGGGGCTGTGCTCTGAGTGGCTCACAGGGAGATCATCAGGCATCTCTTCCTCACTGCTCTGCATCACCCCTCCTCTTCCCTGAACCTAATCTTTTGCAAGATGACAACCCATAGGAAGCAGATAAAACCCATCCATCTTCCTGTTGTTGTCCTGTATCCGATACCCATCACATACAGAGCCATGTGGTATGCCTCGAGGAGCCTGTGTGTTGAGGGGTAGCCAGAGCCTGCCCTGGGTGGGTTAAGTGGTCAGCGGTGGGCGGGGGGGCAGGACAGGGTGCAGGGCTGACCAAGGAGAGCTGTGCTGTCTTCCTTGTGCAGTACCCAGAGGGCAGTGGAAGCCAGACCACCTTCACTAGCCTAGTGCCTGCCCCAGCACCCAGCTCAGTGTTGGTATCTGAGCCGGGTGCTGGGCCAGCTCTTTGCACAGGGTAATGCTAAGAAGCCTGTCACCATTCCGAGTGTCCCCTTGGTCTACAAAGGTGGCTGTGGGATGCTTGTCTCTGTCCTCACAGATGGCAGGAGTTTGCAGGGAGAAGTCTGACAGTCTCCTAGGAGGAGTCCCTGAATTCTCTTGGCAGATTTTACTTACTCATGTACTCATTTAATTCATTTAATACCCAGTATTTATTTGAATTTTGTATTAGTTAGGACTCTTGGTTGTAAGTGACAGAAACATAACTCACTCTGGCTTAGTCATAAAAGGGTATTTTTTGCCTTTGTAATTGCAAGCATAGACGGCAGGCATGACTGCATCCGCAAGATCAGTCTCATTCTTTCTCTCTTCTGTGTTGGTTTCATTCTTTGTCAAGCTGCCTTTGTGGCAGCCGAAGGGTGGTAGCAGCTCCTACCTGTGAAGTAACCCCAGTGAAAAGAAAAGTATTTTTTTCCCCCAGTAGTTCTAACAAAGTCCCAGGGAAGAAGCTCATTGGCTGGCTTAGGTCACATGTTTGTCCCTGAACCAATTACCGGCACCAGAAAGATGAAAGGCTCTGATTGGCCAGACCTGGGTCTCATGACCGCCCACCTAAACCATAAGAACTGAGAATGAGGGAGGGGTAGGTCCTAGAGGGAAATGGCGGTGGTACCATGAGAAGAAGGGGAAGGGATGCGGGGCAGGCAAGACCCACAGCTTTCCGCCACATGTGCGCATGCTCAGCCAGGCCCAGTGCTCGGTTCTGGGGACCTTGTAGTAAACCAGACATTGTGGTCCCTGCTCTCCTAGAGCTTGTCGTCTAGCTAGGGAGCCAAAAATGGAAAAATAATGTCAGGAATGAGGGCTGCACAGTTAAACGTGGTGAATATTCTAAAGGTGAAGCACAGCATAGCTCAGGGGGAACGTAAGGTTAGGAGGTGGGGGGACTCTAACCTAGTCTCGGAGAGGGTCAGGTAGGGCTTTTTGTTAGGAAATGATGTTTCAGCTGAGCCCTGAAAATTGGATAGGTGCTAGTTAGGCTAAGGTGGAGTCCGAGTGGAGGAGAGTGTTCTAGATTCTTGCTGTTCAAAGGGAGGCCAAGGGACCAGCAACACCTGCACCATTTGCGAGCCCCTTAGAAATGCAGAATCTCAGGTTCCACCCCAGACCACTGAATCAGAGTCAGCTTTTTTATTTTTTTGAGACAGAGCCTTGCTCTGTCGCCGAGCCAGAGTGCAGTGGCGCGATCTTGGCTCACTGCAACCTCCACCTCCTGGGTTCAAGCGCTTCTCCTACCTGAGCCTCCCGAGTAGCTGGGATTACAGGTGCGTGCCACCACGCCTGGCTAACTTTTGTATTTTTAGTAGAGACGGGGATTCACCATGTTGGCCAGGCTGGTCTCGAACTCCTGACCTCGTGATGCGCCCGCCTCGGCCTCCCAAAGTGCTGGGATTACAGTCGTGAGCCACCACGCCTGGCCCAGAGTCAGCATTTTACCGTCATTTTCCGGTGATTTGTATACACAGGGCAGCTTGAGAAGCACTGCTGTGGGCCTCTGCACATGCGTTCAGGCAGCCGAGAGAGAGAAGGCGACAGCAAGAGGAACCGGAGGGAGATCAGAACAGCTGGTGAAGCCGGAGTTAGTGTTGGAGAGGCTGGGCATGCAGGCAGGGACCAGATCAAGCAGACGCTTGGACATTCTGCTGAAGATTTTAGAGTTTATTCCTAGTTAAGAGCACTGGAGTCATTGACGATGTTACCCAGAGGATTAAGATGAGACCTTTGGAAAATCACCTGGCGTCATATGGCGAATGCATGGCAGGGAACAGAGTGGAGAGGGGATGAGCTGAGGCTGCTGCAGGATCCAGGGGAAGAGATGGAAGCCTGACTCGGAGGGGCCGGTGGGGTTGTTTGGAAGTGGTTGGAGCTCAGATTTTGCAGGTGGTGAATTGATGAGATATGAGATTTGGGGAGAAGGAGGCGGCGAGAATGGCTCCCAGGTTTGTAGCCAGTAGATACATGGGACAACCATTCTCTGAGATAAAGGTTGGTGCAGGAGGGAGGATTAGGATTCAATTCTTCTTCTTTTAAATTAAAAAAAAATTTTAGGGACAGGGTCGTGCGCTGTCACTCAGCCTGGAGGATAGTGGTTCATTCCAAGGTCACT
The DNA here is from genome assembly GCF_000001405.40 of Homo sapiens. Classification (NCBI taxonomy): domain Eukaryota; kingdom Metazoa; phylum Chordata; class Mammalia; order Primates; family Hominidae; genus Homo; species Homo sapiens. Next base: position 2,908,792 of record NC_000017.11, read on the forward strand.
GCAACCTCGGGCTCAAGGATCCTCCCATCTTAGCCTCCCGAGTAGCTGGGAATATAGGCATGTGCCACCGAGCCCAGCTAATTTAAAAATTTTCTGTAGAGACAAGGTCTTGCTGTGTTGCCCAGGCTGGTCTGAGACTCTTGGGTTCAAGCCATCCTTCCGCCTTGACCTCCCAAAGTGCTGGGATTACAGGTGTGAGCCACTGCGCCTTGTCGAGGGGTCAGCTCTAAGCACTGAGTTGGACGTGCCTGAGGCTCAGAAGAACATTCTGTGCTGGAGGTAAACATCTGGGAGCCCTTCTCCTAGAGAAGGGAATGGAAGCTTTGGGATGAGTGAGCTCTCCAGGGAGAGGATAGAGCAGGAAGAGAGGTTCCTGAGGCGGCACCTCGAGGTGGTGCTGGGGTCTCTGCAGAGGAGGCTGGGCCCGGACATGGAGGGAGAAGCATTTCACGGTGGTGGGACCGGCAGCAGTGCCAGCTGCTGCTGAGAGGCCAAGTATGGTGCAGAGTGCACAGTGGCCACTGGGCTCCGCGGCCTGGCAGTTGCAGGGGATGTAACTCAGACCAGCCCTGGGAGGGGTGGGGCGGACAGCAGATGGCCGTGTGTTGAGGAATGGGTGGAGATGGTCAGAGTCAGAGGGTGTAGACGGTACTTGTGAGGTGGGGAGCCTGGAGTGTGAGGAAATGTGGAAAGGAGGGAGTGAGGCAGGGGTGCTCAGGAATCTGGACCACAGCAGGGATTATTTTTAACATATTCTTTCAAAAAATGATTTGTGAGCATCCACTGGGTGCCTGCCCCTGCTGCGCTCTCCCATGACAGGCTGTCGGGAGGGGCCTCAGGCAGGCCCGGAGCAGAGCAGCCTCAGGGAAAGCTCAGCAGCTGCAGTCAGGAGGTGTCCCTTCCTCCTCCTCCCCCGTGTTCTGTCCTTCTCCCCTTTGAGCTCAGCTCAGCAATTTCCCAGCCTGTGACTTTACTGCCCAGGCCCCAAGCACAAGGTCAGAGCTGGGAAGGGAGGAAGGGGTGAGGGATTGTCCTGGGGACTCAGACTGGGTGGGGGTCCTTCTGTGGTTGGGGTTGGGGGTCAGTGTGTGTGGTGTGCCTGGCCCGAGGGGTTCTCTTTGTGACTGTCATTTGGGTTCATTCTGTGGCTTAGCCTGTGGCTGCAGTTAGGAGTCTGTCTATGGCGAGGAGGTTTTTTCCCTTTGTGTGAAAGCTAACCACCCATGAGGGATTTAAAACCACAATCCTCACCTTACACCAGCCTGCTCACCACAGGAGTGTCCCATCACAAAAGTGATGACATTGATGAAATAATATTGCAGCTCCTGCTTGCAGGCTGTCCGATTCTTTCCTTAACTTGAGTTCCCTGAGCATAGCGACTGTGTCCTATTCTTTAGGGCCCCCAGGCCCTGGCTTAGGGTGGGGACCTGGGACTTGTTTATGGTTGCTGACAGTAAGGGACATCTCGGTCAGAGGAGGTTGTTCTGCTCCTGACCCTCCACTCCTCTGCTTCTGGCTGGATCCTATATCCCAGCAGGCCTGGGCTCCACCTGCCACATCCCTGTCCTAGGGTGAGGCCAGGCCTCTGCTTGGTTGACACATCCCAGGTTATTATAGCACACTGAGGCCAGAGACGCCCTGGATGGAGGCTGGCCTCTCTCCGAGGGTCCCTGGCCCTGAGGGTTCATGAATCAGTTCTCTGTTCTTTGAGCCTCGGGCAGTGGGAGAAGGCTTCACCTGGTTCTCTTGGCAGTGCAGGCTCAGGGAGGGTGTGGCAGGGGCACCCCTTTGGTTGATTAGCTTGGGAGTCACAGAAGATTAGGGATGGGCGATCCATTTCCTTTATAGGTAAACCAGAAGCCCCAAGGTAGGAAATGACTCTCCCAACGCAACGCCGTTCCTCCTCGAGTCAACAGAATAAGTTACATTCTTTATTTTTATATTTATTTTTTGAGACGGAGTCTCACTCTGTCACCCAGGCTGAAATGTAATGGCGCGATCTCGGCTCCCTGCAACCTCCGTCTCCCAGGCTCAAGCAGTTCTCCTGCCCCAGCGCACCACCACACCCCGCTAATTTTTGTATTTTTAGTAGAGATGGGGTTTCCCCCTGTTGGCCAGGCTGGTCTCGAGCTCCTGACCTCAAGTGATCCGCCAGCCTTGGCCTCCCAAAGTGTTCAGATGACAGGCGTGAGCCACTGCACCTGGCCCACGATAAGTTAAATTCTAAGACCCAAACTAGTTTTGGTCAAGTGCTCGGCTCATCTCATGCTTGCTCATCTCACGCTTGCGGGCCCAGGGACGGCCTCTTGTGGCTCTCCCACTGGGAAGGGCTGGCTGGAGCAGTAGCTGGCCTCCAGCCTGAGAGTCTCTGCCGCGCTCCCCCCGGGCCCCCACCCTCACTGGCGTGCCTGCTGCTACCCGACCTATACGCACCCTCCCCCACCTCTTTGCTGTTTGTTTTGAAGGGGATTTTTTTTTTTTGCTAATATGAAGCTGATAAAAAGCAACCAAAGAGATGCTGACCAGATGGGCTGAATAAGATCCCAGTTCCCAGCCAGAGCTCAAACTGGCTGGTGCCGGGTGGGCTGGGAGAGGGACTTGAGGCTGCGTCTGTGGGAATACCGTAGGTGGTTTCCAGGCCCATATTTTTTTTTGGAAGCTGATTTTCATGCCCCAATGGATCAGCAGGCATTTAGGGAGGGGCAGTTGTATGCCCAGAATTGTGCTGGGTCCCCTGGGTCACATCGAAGCTGCAGTCCTCCACCCTCAGAGAGCCTGCCGTCTACAGGGGCCCTGACTGAGCCGGAGAAACCAGATGGCTCAGTGTGACAAGGCTCAGATGTGAAATGTGGCTTCTCAGTGGGGAGGAGAGGAGGGGGAAACGCTATGTGGGGAGGTGGGGTGGGATGGGGCGGGGTGGGGCAGCCGGAAGGGGCCCTAATGGCAAGCATGGGGGTCAGGGTGACCCCCTGGGACCATAGACAGTAAAACCTTCCCAGGCCCCGTGAAGTAAAGGGGTTGATTCTCCTGATTCTCTCGACGCTCATGGGAAGGACACAGAGCATTTCACTGAAGTCCACTCTGCTGGGACTTGACCTGACCTTGTCCCTGGAGCCGCACCGGGCCCTGAGCTGGCTCGGTCAGCTGGGAGGTGGCCCTTGCTCAGCCTTCCACACCCCTCTTTGTGCAAGTCTGAGGGCAGCCCCTCTCAGACCTTCTCCTTTCCAGAAGAGGATAATGTGCGCTTGGAGTTCCCACTGCAGGGACCAGCAGAACGTCTGGTTCCTCCCTTGCTCCTTGGCACGTGGCTCTCCACGGCCAGGGAATGCCCCCACCGCCTCTATGGTAGGTAAGGCAGGTGTGCAGGCTTCCTATGGCAGGGAAGAGGATGGAGATCAGAGGAGCCTCCTCCTTGCCCCTCTCTATCCCTCTGGGCAGAGCTGGGCTGGGCCTCCCTTTCTGGCTCATGGATTACCCACCGGCCACCCTCTCTCCCTGGGGTTGGGGGGTGGTGTGTGGGGGCTTCTGTTCCAGCTTGTAGCACAGCCCCCGGCCTGATTTCGTCTCTTCTTTTGCTCCTGGTTCCTGCCTCCTGTCTTCTGTTAGGCTGTGCAGGGAGACTTGCCCCTCATCAGGGTGGAGTGACAGTGTCAGCCCCCCATACATCCACCAGCTCTGGATGGATGAAGGGAGGAGGCATTTGTGGGAGGGTTGACGGGAGCCTTTCTGGGCTGGGGCAGGAAGGGCTGAAGGACATCAGCAAGGAGGTTTGGTTTTTCCCTCTTCAAGAAAACCCTGTGTAGGGACAGGAGAGGACAGATATATATTCCCTCCATCCCTACTGCTGGAGGGAGGCCCTTGCTGAAGCTCTGTGGGTCCTGGGAGAGTCACCTCTGGTCTCCACATCGATTGTGTTTCTGTTGCCGCTCCGGACATGGTTGGGATACAACCCCATCTCCTCAGGAGCCACTGCCCATTGTTCTCTTGACTCCATCCAGGAGCCAAGGAAGTTCACATCTGATTTAATGCAGGCATGAGGAAGGGCTTATTTGGCTACTGAGGGTGAGGATGCTAACTAGGAGGCTTTAAGAACATGGAGATGTTGGCTGGGCATGGTGGCACATGCCTGAAATCCCAGCATTTTGGGAGGCTGAGGCAGGAGGATCCCTTGAGGCCAGGAGTTTGAGACCAGCCTGGGCAACACAGTGAGACCCCATTTCTACAAAAAATTAAAAAATTAGCTGGGCCTATTGGCTCATGCCTATAGTCCCAGCTACTCTGGAGGCCAAGGTGGGAAGATGGATTGAGCCCAGGAGATTGAGCTTGCAGTGAGTTATGATTGCACCACTGCACTCTAGCCTGGGTGACAGAGCAAAATCCTGTTTCAAAAAAAAAGAAAAAGAAAACATGAAGATGTCTGCATGTGCACCTACTTACCTGCATGCATTTCCCTCCTCACCTGTGCACACCTGAGCATGTGCCTATTTTCCCTAATTCTGTTCTCTTTTTTTTTTGAGATGGAATCTCGCTCTTGTCACCCAGGTTGGAGTGCAGTGGCGTAATCTCAGCTCACTGCAACCCCTGCTTCCTGGGTTCAAGCGATTCTCCTCCCTCAGCCTCCCGAGTAGCTGGGATTACAGGCACACGCCACCATGCCCAGCTAATTTTTGTATTTTTAGTAGAGATGGGGTTTCACCATGTTGGTCAGGCTGCTCTCAAACTCCTGACCTCAGGTGATCCGCCGGCCTCAGCCTCCCAAAGTACTGGGATTACAGGCGTGAGCCACCACACTCGGCCTTCTGTTCATGTTTTAAGGCCAACTTGCTTATGCTTCTGGAAGATTACTCTAGGTGTAACTGGATTTTTAAAAATTTGCAGACACAGAAATGCGTAAGTCTTAATTGTATTGTATACTTTGACTAATGATACACCCACGTGAGCCATACCTTGATCAAGAAACAGGACATTTCTGCAACCCCAGAAAGTTCCCATTGTCCTGACCCAGTCAATCATAACTGCCCCCTTGAGGAGCAAACAGTGTTCTGATTTTTTTCAAAAGTGAGTTTTGTCTGTTCTAGAACTTAATTTTTTTTTTTTGAGGTGGAGTCTCGCTCTGTTGCCCAGGCTGGAGAGCAGTGACGCAATCTCTGCTCACTGCAGCCTCCGCCTCCCGGGTTCAAGGGATTCTCCTGCCTCAGCCTCCCCAGTAGCTGGGATTACAGGTGCCCACTACCACTCCCGGCTAAGTTTTTTGTATTTTTAATAGGGACGGGGTTTCACCATGTTGGCCAGGATGGTCTCGAACTCCCAACCTCAAGTGATCCGCCTTCCTCAGGCCTCCCAAAGTGCTGGGATTACAGGCGAGAGCCACCATGCCTGGCCGGTGACTGTTTATATGAAACTGCTACACTGTTTGCCAAATGGTCAGGCCATCTTATATCCTCACCAGCAGTGTCATTTGAGTTCTCGCTGCTCTGCATCCTCATCAACATTTGCCATTGTTGGTTTTGACAATTTTAGCTACTTGAACGGTATCTCATTGTGGTTTTAATCCACATTTTCTCATGACTAATGATGTTGAATATTTTTCATATGCTTATTGACTATTCTTATAGTTCTTTTTTCCCTTCCTCCTTCCTTTAAATTCGGTAGTCTTCTTGTAGGCGTTCTTTACATATTCTAGTCAAGTTCGTTTCTTTTCTTCTTCTTCTGTTTTTGAGGCAGAGTCTCGCTCTGTCGCCCAGGCTGGAGTGCAGTGGCCCGATCTCAGCTCACTGCAAGCTCTGCCTCCTGGGTTCACACCATTCTCCTGCCTCAGCCTCCCGAGTAGCTGGGACTACAGGCGCCCGCCACCACGCCCGGCAAATTTTTTGTATTTTTAGTAGAGACGGGGTTTCACCGTGTTAGCCAGGATGGTCTCAATCTCCTGACCTTGTGATCCACCCACCTCGGCCTCCCAAAGTGCTGGGATTACAGGTGCGAGCCACTGTGCCCGGCCACTTCTTTTTTTTTTTTTTTGAGACGGAGCCTTGCTCTGTCACCCAGGCTAGAGTGCAATGGCGCCATCTCGGCTCACTACAACCTCCACCTCCTGGGTTCAAACGATTCTCCTGCCTCAGTCCCCCGAGTAGCTGGGATTACAGGTGCCCGCCACCACGCCCAGCTAATTGTTTTATTCTCAGTAAAGACAAGGTTTCACCATGTTGGCCAGGCTGGTCTTGAACTCCTGACCTCGTGATCCGCCCGCCTCGGCCTCCCAAAGTGCTGGGATTACAGACGTGAGCCACTGCGTCCGGCCTTCTTCTTTTTAGAAATAGAGATGGGGACTCACTATGTCGCCCGGGTTGGTCTCAAACTCTGGCCTCAAGTGATCCTCCTGCCTGGGCTCCCAAATTGTTGGGATTACAAGCTTGAGCCACCATTTCTGGCCCATTTCTTTTCTTGTTTTTATTTTTTGGATACAAGGTCTCACTTTGTTGCCCAGGCTGGAGTGCAGTGGTGCGAACAGAGCTCACTGCAGCCTCAACCTCCTGGGCTCAAGCCATCCTTCCACCTCAGCCCC